>NC_000003.12:165069210-165220725 GCF_000001405.40 Homo sapiens
TAAAGGAATTATATAATTACTACTATTATCAGATGTCCCAGTCTCTGTTTTTCCAAGGAATGAATATTTTAAAATAATCTAACTTTTTCAAATGTATAATATGCCAAAATAGCATTTGCTCTTTTGTTTCTTCTACCTGGAAGAAATACAAGTATTTAATAAATTGAATTAATTACACCCTGTCAGAAATTTATAACCTGAGATGTGATTATTAAAATCACGTATCTATACAAATTTTTGTAAGCTTATGTATTTTAAAGGAACCTGATCTCTAAGTAATTATAATTTATTCTGTTGCCATGGTATTGACATGGAAGAACTGAAATATTTATTTTGTACTAATTATGTATCAAGCTGAAATTTAAACTAGGAGGATGAAAATATGGCCTTGAATTTAAACCCACTTAAAATGTGTAAGGGATTTAATTCTACCTACTTACTAGTTCATATTTAATTATTTAAACTATCTTAACTAGTTTATGTGCCAGGTATCACAAGTAGTTGCTGCAATAGCATTCAATTAATAAAGCAAAATACTGAATTCTCAGTAATTTTATTAACCATATGGAAATACTATCTGAAGTGAAAGAAAAATTATAAATGTTTATTTATAAATAGTTTAGCAAAATAGTGATGCTATGCATGAATAGCAGTATAATTATAAATCTATGTAAATTTAATAGTGTGACACACTTTCATAATTTGAAAAATTGTAGGATTTTCCCCTTTGCTTACTTTCCATGAAAATAAGTTTTTAAAAGCCTCCATTTTAATCAGCTGAAAGTGTGCACTAACCTTTCTCCTATTTTATCCTCAAATTAAAATGGTATCAGATACAGACACACACACACACGTATATAATATATATAGTATATGTACTATATATTTATATATTTTATATAATATTTAAATAGATAAGTATATGGGATATATGTATATTTATTATATATAAAATATATTTTGATATATTTATTTATATATAAAGTATATATTATATATAAAATATGTTTATATAGAATAAAAATACACATAGTTTTATTTTTATGTATAATAAATATACATATATGATTATATACATATATAATTATATATGTATATATACATATATTATATATATAAAATCTCTCTAAACACCATATATATATATATATATATGTGTGTGTGTGTGTGTTTGAGTATGTATTTATATATTTATACCCAAACACACATATACACATATACATTGCAAACTGGGGTACAATTGGATCTAATAACTTATTAGAGTCTAAAGTGTGTGCAACTTTTGATCAGGCAATTTTATCTCCAGTTATCTAACCTGTAGAAATACCTAGCAATACAAAGAGACAATTCTACAAAAAAAATTACTTACAGCAGTCTCTATGAAAGATTTGTATATAAAACTCTAAATACATTTATATAAATACATCTATAAACACACAAAGGTGCTAAGTTTAAAAAATAAGAGGAAAGAAATAAGCACACTATAATCACAATTTACATAATTAAAAATATATAGTAAAATAGGCTTACGTTAATTTCCTGAAAATATGCCATATTAGTTTCCTATGTCTTTCATAACAACCATGGAAAAGGTGACTTAAAGCAACAGAAATTTACTCTCTCACCGTACTGGAGGTTGTAAGTCCTAACTCAAGGTGTCAGCAGAGCCATGCTGCCTCCAAAGGCTTCACAAAATAATTCTCCCTTGTCTCTCTCTAGCTTCTAGTGGCTCCTGGCAATCCTTGGCATTCCTTGGCTTATAGGCGCCTTTTTCCAATTTTTGCTTCCATTTCACAGGGCTTTCTTCCCTGTCTGTCTCTGTGTGTGGTTCCTTCCTCTTATAAGGACGTTAGTCATTCGACGCAAGGCCCAAATTAATTTACTACGACTACATCTTAACTAATTGCTTCTGGAAAACTATATTCCCAGATAAGCTCATATTCTGCGATTCCAAGTAGACACGAATTTTTGGAAAACATTATTTAACCTACTACATATACACTCCAACATATTAATTAAAAATGTATCTCCCTGTTGTTGCTTTCAAAATATTAGTAATTTTAATTTATCTTGCGAAGATTTTGATACTTGTTATTTATGTTTAGTTGGTCTTCCTATTTTTCAGGGTTTTAGGCATTTTCCTCATTATTTTTAATTTCTCATCTAATTATTTTCCTTTTGCCTTCATCTGACACAGTTAAACTCTAGCAAATAAAGGTATAATAAATTTATCATATTTTAACATATTTTATCATATATATGTATATACATTATAAGTGATTATATATTAAATGTAATAATTTCATATGTAATAATATATAATGTGTATTCAATATGTAGATATGTATATTCACTGTATTATGCCCCCGAAATTCATATGTTGAAGCTCTAACCCCCAATGTGAAGGTATTTGGAGATAGGTCCTTTAAGGGGTTAATTAAGTTTAAATAAGGATATAAGGGTGGGGCCCTAATTCATTAGGACTGGTGTCCTTATAAGAAGAGGAAAAGACAGCGAAGATCTCTTTCTCTCTGTGCACGAAGAGGAAATACTATGTGAGGACAAAATGAGAAGGAAGCTGTCTACAAGCGAGAAAGAGAGGCCTCACTAGAAACCAACCTTGATGACACCTTGATCTTGGACATCTAGCTTCCAAGACTGTGAGAAAATAATTGATATTGTTTAAGCTGCCCATTCTGCGGAATTTTGTTATGGCAGCCCGAGCTAATGCACTTTGCATGGAATTATGCCTGTTACCTAGGTAACCATTTGATTATTCTATATTTTGTCATCATTGTGCAATAAGCAAACATGTCCTTTCTAATATACAATAAACATGCCATTTCTAGTATACAATAATTTATACAGTAAGTTTAATATAACCAATTTTCCAATTTTAACAATCATGATCTATCCTCATGTATATGAAAACCTAAGATAAATCTTTTTTTTTAAATTAAGGAAATTTTTAGAAAATCATTACTTTAACCAACTTCAATCTCTACCACTGCATTTGGAACAAATAATATTTAGTCAGATGGAATGCCTCTCAAATATTTAAAAGAGTAAGTGTATATATTTAAGATGATAAATAATTGCTTTAGTTGATCCGTTAAGATGGTGGAAAATTAACATTTGAAGTATTTTAAAGAATCTTTAGGGTATTTAATGAAAAGTATTATTAAAGATACATAGCTATAAATAACAACAACAACAACAAAAAACCCTGAGTGACAAAGTTTGAATAAAAATCATATTTGAAAATTGCAACATCTCCTAAAGCAAAAAAAGGCAAATATTTAGGCCCGTTTTCTAATTTCAGGTAGATTTCATTTTTCATTCCTTTATGATTTATTTTTTAAATCCATTTCCTATAATAGAAAAATGCTACCTTGAAAATTCATCTACTTAGAAAATTATGACATGCTAGTTAAAGAACAGTGACTACTGAGTTCGTGAAACATGAGCTCACATTGAAATTTGCATACCACTGTTCTAATTCCAGTTTTGCCTGTAAACTAGCAAAGTGACACTGGAATATTAATTTAGCCTTGAAAAACAGTCTAAGCTTCCATATAAATCCAAAACTTTGTGAATAAGATACCATTTAAATGATAATCTCTTTAAAATCATTTTAAGTTGCACTTTTCCTAGTTAAAAATGTCAAGAAAACACTCAAATTCTTTTGAGATATACTAAGTTAAACTTTTAAAACTGTAAGTTGTATTTTTATAAATAACAAGCATAAATATATTGGCTGAAGTTTAACTTGCTTACTTCACAAATATAGTTTATTTCACACTGAAAACATTCTTCAGCAATCTAACAGTTTAGGTTGACACTAAAGACTAATATTAGGCAAGAAAAATGTAAACCACTGACTTTCAAATATTGTTTCCCTATAAGACCTTCAAAACCCATATTGTTCCTAATAGAATTCTATGTTTAGCTTCAATCATTTCTCTCTCTCTCTCTCTCTCTCTCTCTCTCTCTCTCTCTCTCTCTCTCTCTCTCTCTGTCTCTTTCCCTCTCTCTCTCTCTTTCGAGACGGAGTCTCGCTCTGTCACCCAGGCTGGAATACAGTGACGCGATCTCTGCCCACTGCAAGCTCTGCCTAAGAAGGTTAAGTAAAGAGAATATCTGGCCACTTTCCTCAGTGTATCTCAGTAAATACTATGTTATTTAGCTCTTCTATCAGCAGGTAAGCTATAGGACCTATTACTTGTAATGTTACTCAAAGGAAAATCTCATCTCTTTCAATTTTTTTTCAAATTAATTAGAAAATTGCATGCTTACTATGATGTAGGGAAGACAGAATAGGGACAAAATAAATTTTATAGTTTATTCAGTTAATTTGTGTGTGGTAAGGTGGAGTGGAGAAGGTGACATTTGTAATTGCATATCATATTTGCAAATGCAAATATTTGCAAAATGTCAATATATAGAGTCAGCCCTCTGCATCTGTGGATACAACAAACTGTGGATCAAAAATATTTCAAGGAACAAAAAATATCAACATGGTAATAAAAATAATGTAAATAAAAAACAATACATTATAACAATTATTTGTATAGCATTTACATGGTATTAGAGTTATAAATACTCTACAGATGATTTAAAGTATACAGGAGAATGTGCATAGGTTATATGCAAATACTGCCATTTTATTTGAGAGATTTGAACATCTGCAGATTTTGGTATCCTCAGAAGTCCTGAAACCAATTCCCCGAGGATACCCATGAAGGACTGTACATATACACCCACACACAATGACTTTTATTCCCACACAGGTTTGTGGGGAAAAAAAGGAAGAGTGAACTTGGGTTACATGAATCCAATTGGTTACACCTAATTTTCTCCATTTTCTCTTCTTCACTTCTAATTGCTAAATTAAAAACAATTAATAATTTTCATAAAATGAGTATTTTGTTTTCCACAGATACTTCTTAATGCTATCATTACAAATACTCTACTGGAACATATATACTCCCTCCTAAATGTTCTATATTATCAAAGGTATACTTTCTTAAAGAAGTAGATTTGAGATGACAGAATTTCATGAAGATTTGTAAAATTAACTATAACTTGTTAAATATGGATGAATATTAACTTGTTAATTTAAATTGAGCAGAGATAAAGGAAAGCAAGGTCAGTAACTTCTATTATCTATCATTTTTAATAGGAAGCTATAATAAAATGATAAATTCAGCCTAATTTATGTCTAGATCTTTATTAAATAAGATCGATCCAATATTCAGCAATTATCTTAATATAATAATGTATATATTCATTAAAAATATTAAAGACTTTTGCTGCAGACCTCTGTTGGGAATTGTTCTGGAATGCAGTTTATTCTCACATTGACAGGATCATTTAACACATTTGGACATTTTCCTGAATCAGAAGGATTTGTAGTCACACGAGTAGTAGCTGGAGTTGAAGTAGAATCACTAATTTCTGGGGGAGGAAAAAACTCAATAAAATAAAACATGACATTAAATTAATTTTCTCAGAATTATCAAGTAATAAGTACTTTTTGAAAGAATACATGAATTCATATAAAATGAAAATTTTAAAATAAATTTTGCATTTAAAAAGACCCACAATTTCAAGCACTAGTCATCAAAAGGAAAAGATCCAATCATACTTTTAAAATTGACAGTGTAGAATCCTATTGACTGTTTCTGAAGAAATACAAAATATATTTACAAAAGGACTTGGTGTAGATTCAGAAGGTAACAAAATATACATTCATACTGTATTTACAACTTGTATTTTATAGCTGAAGAAAAGATGGAGCAATATGAGTTATGAAAAACATATAGAGAAGGTGAGAAGAAATTAGAGAAGAGGAAAGTAGGTGAAAGTTATTCAAATTATCCCTTGCAAGGGAATAATTTGATAGGTAAAGTAGAGAAAGCTGGAATAGCGAAGAATGGTAGATACCAACGCCATATAAATAACATTCCAGCAATGAGATATCATTAAAATATATTGCTTCATAATACAGTAAGCTCTCAGTTTCTGGAAGTAGGTAAAACAAAAGATTAACAGGAATAGGAAATGCTAACTGTAGTCTAGAAGATAATGTGTAACATCCTTTACAATACTGATTTGCTCAAGAGAGAATAATGAAGAAAGAGATTCAGCATTCCGTATGTACCAACTCTAAATTAGAATTAAAATATTCAGAAACAGATAATTAAACTATCCAAGTCTTTTTTCAACTTTCCTCTACCTGCCTTTCTCATACAACCTCTCTCTCTCCTTAAAATAAAATCTAACCAGAACAAAGAATATTTGCTAAAATCCTTATTTCCTTTGCAAGTGTGTGAAGGCTGGAGCAAAAACCCAGGTTTTCCCACTAATGAGATGATGCTCACACCAGTAGGCGATTATTCCACCTTACATTAACGATTTGATCCCTTTGCCTCTTTGCTCTTTGTCAAGTAGCTAGGGAAGGCAATTCATGTCAAAGCACATGGATTCCTTACTTACAATAGCTCATCATTGAAATATGGAATATAATGAATAGAAAAAGTGGAAGTAATTGTGTAACTTACCCTGGATTTTTCTATAAGTGTTTCATCTTACACAGATTATTTTTTAAAACCTATAACTATTGTGGAGTAACTTCCTCCTAACTTCACGATAATGTAGCCATGCTTTTAATGTACTACTTACCATCAACAGCAGGTGTCTTAGTTGCTAAAACAACAATTAAGGCAATAGCTATTATAGTAACTATGACAAAAAGGACAATCAGAGAGATTTCCAATCCACTAAATTTCTTTCTTGCCATCTAAAAACAGAAAAGAATATATATTTAAAATGTAAAATATATAACTATAATAAACCACCAACAATTCTCATGAAATTACATATTCTTTTTTTTACTATGTATAATGCAGAGTTGAAGACAGCACTTACATAATATCCTAAATTAAGCACTTACTTAATAATATATTAAGCATGTACTTAATAACCTGAAACTTATACTGATATAAAATGTAAGCAACACATGCAATTTAAAGTAAAAGGAATGAATTACTGATGCACATTACAGTAGTAGTAGTACACTAAGATGAAAATACAGATGGAAAAAAAGATCTTCAAGTAGGTGTGTCTTGCCTTCTCATTTAGAGCATTTTGCAAGGCAAAGGCTTCCACTTGCACTGTTTCTCAATTCTCACAACAATTCTATGAAGGAAATAGTTATTCACATTTTACTGATCAGGAACTTTAAGCTTAACAAAGAATAAGTTATAGTTCAAAGTTAAAAACTTCAGTTTTTTTCTTGAACTCTCCTCTCTCTAATTCCAACACTACTTTCCACAATATTGTCGAAAAGAACATAAATACATATATTTGATAGAATAGTATATATTTGGGAGTTGCTACTCTGTTTAAAAATCTTTTGAATTTTCACCAAGTTCCTTCATCAAACAGCAGCAAATGAGATATACAAAACTCTTATATCAAAAATACATATTTATTATTAAAAGACATTATACTTTTGAGGTAGCATATGGAAGATACCCAAATGTAGACAGGAAAGAACACATCTCCAATAATTATCTGAAAGCATATTTGTTTAATTTAATTTTGACCACATATATCTTATTTTTCTTAGTTCTCAAGTTTCCATGGATTATCTGTATTCTATGATTTTAGTATAAATCTTAATTCAAAGACATATACCAAAGTAGAACTTAGAATTACTACAGTAAGTGCTTTAATAAATTATTGGGTTTAAAATCACGGTTTGTTTTTTTTTTTTTTTTTGGTCTCACAATGGTCCCTGTTCTGTAACTATGTCAACTCATGTACCCAGTTGTCCCAACCTAAACACCTTTTTTTCCTTCTTCCATATGTTTTACAACATTCAATCATTCAATAAGTCCATCTGACTTTATCTTCAAAGTATTTTTAGAATTATGCCTTCATTTTATCCCCAGCACCACAGCATAATTTTTAGATAACATATTGCCTTCATACCTGCTGTTCAATTTCAATCCCTCCCCATCCACTCTTCTAGGTGAATTCTAAATTTTGCTGAATTCAAATGCCATGGTGAGTTCCTTACCACTCTGAGGCACAGTTAATCTAGCCTTTCTTCATTTACCATAGCATATTAAATGTCCATTGCAATTATTTATGTATATGTTAATTTCCTCAATTAGATCGTTACATTCTTGTTAGCAAAAATTATAAAAGTAGTCAGAGAATAATATTAAGTAAGCAAAAACTTAATTTTTTAGTATAGCTTATAAATGAATATCTGCAGATTAGCATTTATTCTTAGTATACAATTTTCTGTTCCAGATATGTAAGCTGTTTATTGCATCAGTAATTTTCAAAGAAAATGAATGTAAAGTAAACAGAGCAACAGGTAACATACAAAGCTGTTCGAAAAATGAAGCCCAGTTGCGTGATGTTATGTTGAGAAATGACAAAGTTACATTTAGTGTACAACTTTAAATAAGTGTAAATCTCATTTGAAGTGATAACCTACTTTGCTACCAAGAAGTCAATAATGAGAATTGTGCTTTCCTTTTTGATAAGGGAAGTCTTAAAAAATGCATTTTTGTCATGAAACAAACTCTCCTTTGTCTAGAAAAATCAAAACAAAATTTAAAACAATTGCTTAAAATTACTGTGATAAAAAAATATGATCCCTGTAATTTTGGATTACAGTAATTTTAAGCAACTCTTCTTGGAAAATATATATTGATACCCTTTCTCTGCATATTTATTATGAAGATGAATAATACTTTATTGTATAACAACTTGATGAATGATCTTTAAAAGGTCAGCTAGAAAACAGTAATGTTTTATAAATGTAGCATTCTATTTTATATAGATTTTCTTAAAATATATTTAAGCATACTTTATTATTCATCTATTTTTCAAAATCTTAATCAGTACTCATTTTCTTTCATATAGAGTCATTAAACAAAACTTGCTATGATTCCACCTAAGTCTTACAAAAGTTATAATGAAGAGTTGGGCCAAAAAAAATCCTGTATTTAAAAAAAAATTAGAAATATTTTTTCCTGTTTAATACAAGGTACTACATATTTCAAATGGCAACTTAAAATATATGATATTGCTATTTTAGCCTAGTGCAGATAGATGGGAATACTGCTAACACAAATTAAGAAAAAATATAATTAGTTGAAAACATAAAAATAACAAAAAACATATGAGCCATAGACTTACCTTATTTCATAGCCTGTTCTCTTTGCTATGTTGTACCAGACTTGGATAAGGCTGCCAAAATAATGATCAAGGAAAGCTGCTTAGGTATATATTGACCTACTCATAAAGTTTTATTGCACCCTTACCAGCCTATCAGTGTTTAATAATCTTCTGCTCAACATACAATTGTTAAAAGCCTTAACCCTGAAAGTAGTTTACATAAATGTTTCTCTCTGGGAATCTAAGTTAATTAGTAATTGTACTGTCAGATACTCTTTGATTTCTCAAAGCTGTGAACTATTAATATCTTAAGAACATAAAAGTAGTTCTTTCTATTTTTTCTCTTTTCAAAATTATATTTATTTTATATTTGGATTTTGTTATAATAACTATTTTGTCCATTGTGTGCAATTTAGATCCTCACTGGAGAGTAGAAACATATTTGAAAGACAGAATCTGTGAAAAATTTTCAGGATATAACAATTAGAAGATAATATTTTATAAAAAGTAATGATTAAATAAAAATTATTCCCTGTATCTTGTCTTTGATCTTAAGGTTGAAAAAGTGACCAAATCCTTAAGTATAAAACATAAAATAGAGGTGCCCAGATCAGTAATTTAGAGATAAAATCAACATTTTTATCTATTTATTTACCACAGATAGCACTCATTGAATTATAAAAAATCATATTGTAAACCTTCTCATTTCATGTAGTAAAATGTATAAAATTAATTACACTACTGGTTTAAGCTAGCATAATGTTTAAAAGCAATGGATTTGATATAATAAATTTGGATATAAATGCTGGCTGTACTATGCTTACCTGAGAAATTGTGGGCAAAATACTACCTATAAAATCACTAAAAGAATTATATGAGCTAATATTGCTTAATTATTATTGACCCCAATTTGACTCTGAAATTGTCAGAGTCTAAGCCTTGCATACCATCTGGATACTATCTTTTCAACAAAATATATATTAAAATAATGTGTTTGCATAAAGTAGAGCAATTAGTTTTTGAAGCAAACTAAATATGAGTCTAAAAAGAAAATTTAAAAAAAGTATGCATGGATTGTTGTAAGACTCAGTAGCTATATAAAGGAGAAATTTCAGTATATAAAATCAGTTATATAGCAATAAGTTTAAAATCAGTCCAGAATGATCTAAATAGGAAAAATATAATAAAACTTTTGAGTGATTTACTCTCTATTCATATGCCACATTATTTTATATGTGTAAAATCTCACTAAATGAACTCAAAGCTCCTAGAACCAATAGGCAAGCAAAGCAAGGTCACAGGATATAAGGTCAACATACAAAGGTCAATCATGATCCTACCTAATAGCAAGGAAGAATTGGAAACTGAAACTACAATATAGATATAGACAGAGATATAAGTTGATAGATAGCTAGATTATCAATTAGAATAGCACCAAAAAATGTTGATGAAAAAGTTAAAGATTTTAAAAATTGAGAGATACGCCATATTCATAGACTGCAAAACTCAGTATTAAGCTGCCAATTTGCCACTATTAGATCTACACATAAAATATAATCTAAATCAAAACTCCATGAAGTAAATATAGACAAGCTGATTGTAAATTTTGTATACCAATTTGTATAACAGCTTTATTGATAATTTCCCCAAACTGGAAACAACAAAAGTGTCTGTAAACTCTGGCATATCCATACAATAGCAAACTACTCAGCAATGAAAAGTTATAAACTACTGATTTATGCAACAACATTGATAAATCTTATATTTCAGATCAATTGTTTTCCCTTTAATTTTAGTTCTCTGATAGATTCAAGAGAAATAGTTAACAAGTTGTCTTTTTATTTCTTCCTTTAGAAGTGAGAGCAAAGATTCTTTCCAGCTTTCCACATCTTTGAATTGAAACGATAAGCCTCTGTCAAGTTTTAACTAGTCCTCCTTTACATGTTCCTTTATTTATAGAAATATTTCAAGTAACAGCTTTTGTTCTCTCCAGTTAAAAACTTTGTGTGATTTTCATGCTGCTAAAAAGACACATGCACATGTATGTTTATTGTGGCACTATTCACAATAGCAAAGACTTGGAACCAACCCAAATGTCCATCAATGATAGACTGGATTAAGAAAATGTGGCTCATATACACCATGGAATACTATGCAGCCATAAAAAAGGATGAGTTCATGTCCTTTGTAGGGACATGGATGAAGCTGGAAACCATCATTCTCAGCCAACTATCGCAAGGACAAAAAACCAAACACTGCATGTTCTCACTCATAGGTGGAAATTGAACAATGAGAACACTTGGACACAGGAAGGGGAACATCGCACACTGGGGCCTGTCATGAGGTGGAGGAAGGGGGGAGGGATAGCATTGGGAGATATACCTAATGTAAATGACTAGTTAATGGGTGCAGCACTTCAACATGGCACATGTATCCATATGTAACAAACCTGCACATTGTGCACATGTACTAGAACTTAAAGTATAATTTAAAAAAAGAAAGTCTTAAAGAAACAGACAGAAAAAAAAAACTTTGTGTGATTTTGAATTTGTGTACCTTCTATTTCGTATCGTTATCTCCCTGTCATGTCAACAAACTGGCCTTTGTTTTAAGCAATTACTTCTGCCACCCTAGCTCTGGTTCCAACAATGAACCTCAATCAATCGAATAAGGTGTTCAAAAAATGCTTAGAAGGTAAATTCAGATAAAAATCACAAAATAAATGTATTCAATTATAAGCATAAGGAAGTTATGTACAGTAATTAAAAAGGTGTTTTAACTTAAAACATATCATTTTATTTAAAAACAAATATAAATTCTTAAAATTTCAATTATTAATATAAAGTTGTCCAAAAACTTTAAAACTTCATAAGCAAAATGATCCCCAAATTGAGTTGGATAGTCAGCAGGCAGGATGAGTTGTGAACACCAAAAGTGAATCATAACTGGTGATTGACACCTAGTGTAATTAGAACAGATTAATGTTCAACTACTCTCTTTAGGGAGTATTATGTACTTTGTCTCTGAAATGTGCATGTCAGAATTTCAAACATATGGTAGTTAAATCATGGACGTCTACAGTAGTTAAATCATGGACCTCAAATATGCACCTTAGGTTAAAAGTTACATGATTTAATATACTAGTTTTATATGTTACTTGCCACCAGGATGCAACAAAAAGACAAAAATCGAATTTTCACAGCGATAATGCAGAGATATTTCAAAATATTAAATAATAAAAAATGTTCTGCTTCTTTTAGAGGCCTGTGAAAAAACTAGAAAGAAAACAGCCACATGGCAAGAGAAGAAGGAATGGAAGAAGGCTCTGGGAGGTGTTGAATTTGTTTGAGTTCTTTCTCCTAGAAGACAGAAGCAGGTGCAATAGAACACAAATATAAAAAGGGAAGCCAAGGTTCCTGCCTGGGTCATAAAAAATACTGGATACAAAAGATTTTAGAAGAAGAAGGAGAAAACAAATTCAGGGGCAAGACACCAGAACCATTGGAAAGACCGATGGAGAGTTACGTGAAGAGCTTCCAGAAAATAAGGCATATACAAGTGCTAGTATTCCAGTCTTACACACAGATGCATAGATAAATAAATAACATCACACATTTGCTAATAAATAGCACAGATGACTTTTTAGATGTATCTCTAGATGTAACGATTCTTAGAAGCTTCATACCCAAATTTCCAGATATCTTCAACAGTCTAAAGTAGAACTCTTTACCAGCTCCATCAAGACAATTCTTTATCTAGCTCTATCTCAATTGATATCTTTACATCTCCCCAAGCAACGTGAGCTCAAGACTTTTAATTCCTTTTTGTTAAGCGTTCTATATTGACACTTAATTCTGCAAGTGCTCTTCCTCAGTGTCTCATACGTAATTCTATTTATTTGCTGCTACTGGTATAACAATTACATTATTGTAATTGTTTCCTAACTGGTCTCCCAAACTCCAGTTATTCAACTTTTCTCTTTTCTCTAAAGTAAAACCACCCACCTCTCACCACAAAATAATTCAACTCATTATATGCCCAGTGCAGTAGTCCAATGATACTTAATGCCTGGAGGCGGAGAACCAAATTTCTTAACCTTATTTTTAAAACCCTATACCTTTCATATTTGCCATTTCATCTCCCCTACTTTTCCCTTCATAACAATGTGTTTCATGCTTGTAGTATAGTGCTGTCTTAGCTTGTCTCATATTAAAGCTATCCATAATTGCTTCAATTGGTCATGTGAGACTGGAAATGCAGAGAGAGCCAGGACAATGCTTTCCTTGCCTTTGCTTAATTCAAAATGCTTTTCAGGATGTTTTATATACAGTAGAATATAGCAGTGACTGCCACTTGTATATCCATATCAATTCTCCCTTATCAAAGCTCACCAGTCAAAGTCTATACAGAACTCAAATGTGGTCAAACAAGGAAGAGCAGGGTCTCTTAGTAACAGGAAGTTGGAAGAGGCTTATTATAGGATTTAGACTTGTGCTGTGTGGCTATAGAGGCTAGAGAAAGGAAGGCTAGCTTTGAATTGAATAATGTCCAGAAGTAAGAGCAATTCAGTAACATAGTTGCCAGGTATCATAATCTTTGTTCAGGACACTGGAGGAACAAAATCATGCTAGGGATATATCATTGGTAATAAAACAGCAACATACTCAAAAGTCAATTTTTGCAGCTACAATATGGCCTTGTTAAAAACATGGTTTATTATAATCTAACCATTAACAGCTAATTTTTCATTTTCTCTCTTTTCTTTCTTTTAGTGATAGAACCACCTAAATTTAATAGGGTATGTGGCTGTCCAGACTATGCTATTAAACCCTTCATGTTGCTAATTTTGTGTATGTAGCTAAATTCTAGTCAATGGGATGAAACCTGATTTCATGCTTGTGACTTCCATAGTACATTTTTTTTTAAAAAAAGAAACAGCTTTCTCTCATTCATCCTTTACTTCATTCTATGAACCAAACACATATGTATTTCTGTAGGTCAGCTTTGACTATGTATTTCCTTGGAGATAGTGGAGTAAAAAGTTAGAAGGCTCATAAGATTCCATGACAACTTTGTGGAACATAGCTACCTGTCTACCCTAGATCGTTCACCTTCTTCTGAATAGTAAATGAAAAAGAAATAATCTATCTTCCTTTACCCAGTGAACATTTGAATCTTTTCATTAGAGTAGCTTGTTTCATACTCATTTAATAACATATGACAAGATATTGGCCATTGAATTATGAATTATAATAATAAAATGTTAAGTACCTCTACTATGGATCTAGAAGTTCTTAGTTGGATTATGTGCATTATCTATTACCTTCTTTGGCCTTCCATTATGTAACTTGCCAAGTATTTTTATGAATCAGGAAACTATTTGCATAGATACACTGAATAAACATGTAAGACTAAGAAGAAATAATAAAAAACAAAAACCTTAAAAGGATTATAATATCATTATAGATAATTGTAAAATGAAAAGGAGTTTCACTCATGCTTTGTTGTTTGATGACAAAAGTCTTATTTGTGTTGTCAAATCTGCATTTTTGAAATGTGAACTGTGGACTTGGATGGTGCTATGGTCTGAAGGTTTACATCCCCTCCAAATTCATATGCTGAAATTCCTACCCTAAAGATGATGCTATTAGGAATTAGGGCTTTTGGGAGGTAATTAGGTCATTGAGATGGAGCTCTTGTGAATGAAAATAGTGCTTTTCTATAAAAAAGGCCCCAAAAAGAACCTATGCCCCTTCCACCTTGTGAAGTCACAACATGAATGCACCATCTATAAACCAAGGATATGGGTCCTTACCAGACATCAAATCTGGCAGCATATTGATCTTGGATTTCTCAACACCCATGATTGTGGGAATTAAATTTCTATTGTTTACAAACCACCAAGTTTGTGGTATTTTGTTACAGAAACCCAGACAGACTAAGATAGATGGAGAAGAGCTGGTTGATTTCAAACATAAGTTCTTGGGGAACTTCCTCCCAGTTATATTTAAAAAACATTCTTTAATCTTCACTGAAGCAAATTGACAAAACAAATTGCTACCTAGTAAGTTTCAGTCATTTGATATGTAAAAATTTTTTTCTGTATAATATTATCCATGCTATGAAATACACAAAAATTAACAACTAATGAAAATGAATGTCTGAGAATATTTATAATTATCACTATAAATATTATAAATATAATTGAAAATACATTTCCTTCCTGAAATATTCCAGTCCTAAAATATTCAGCTTGTTAATAATTTTCTTTCTCCTACTTCCATATTTTATTCTAGGAAATTTATTACAGAAAATATCACTTTTGGAATGTGAAATATTTGTTCACATATTGGAAACAGCTATTCTAAAAAGACTAGAGACAATAAGAAATTTAAACAGGACATGATTTCTCTGTAACGGTTATTAACTTATACATTCCTGAAACAGAAGTTTCACAAATAACAGTAAACATAAATAAAAATAAAGTGAGGCAACTCTGAAATTAATCCACTCTCCTTAGAGCACTGTGAGGCTTACCTACTTTTAATTAAATATTTGACAGAAACTTGTGGCCATATTTCTTTGGCAAATAAATTGAGAATCCTAAAACCAGCTTAGAAACTTGTTTTTTCTTCAAATTTCTCTAAGGTTATTGCTATACTATTAAAGTTAATTGGTAAAACTTCATAGACCTGGGTGTTCACCAGACTCTCTCAAACTAATTTTTAATTCTAATTCTATGAAGGTTTTAACAATGATAGTAACTTATCAATGAAACAGGGATTAAACATTTACTTTATCTTTTCTTCACACATAAAACCTAATTGGAATAATATTTGTTAATTAACTAGCAGTTACTAAAAGTACATTTGAAATCAATTCAAGTATAAATTTTTTGAAAGTAATGAAGCAGTCTCTATGAGTAAGCATCTCCAAGACGTGGACCTTTCTAATTCTTCAATCAAGATTACAGCAATCATCTTCCAAAACTCCTTTTTGTATTCATCCACATAATCAATTATTTCTAGAAACATAAGTTTTTGGGCACAAAATATGGGTTCAATTGCTTATTTAACTCAAATGTTTTCTAAGCCAATGGCCACCAACATAATCAAGAAACGCTGTCCAGCTCTAATATTCACATTTACCACAGTGTGAGATTTTTATGACCATTCTAACCTATCGGTATGTTAAATAATGCCATATCTGTATTAGGGAGAATAAATGAAAGAATAATATTCCCTTTCTACAATCACTGCCTCATAAACAATGTGTGCACTTCTACTGGATGCAAAAGTCTCAATTTATTAAACTTTTTATGAATAAATTGGAAAAGTGTTCAATTAAAATGAGAGAATCAGCCATTGTGAAGACATTTTATGTTGTTAAAAACTTCTTTGATGTTTTCAGAATATACAAGACAAATGTTACAATACTAGCATTGTAATTATTTTCCCCAGAATACGCAAAGTTCTATAGCTACAATATGACATCAGACTAATAGTTGGGGTTCATTTTAGGTTTACATTGTAGTACTCAAATTATATTAAAAGAAATCCTGGCCAGGTGTGGTGATTCACCCCTGTAATCCCAGCATGTTAGGAGGCCGAGGTGGGTGGATCACTTGAGGTCAGGAGTTCGAGACCAGCCTAGTCAACATAGTGAAACCATGTCTCTACTAAAAGTACAAAAATTAGCAGGGCATGGTGGTGCACACCTGTAATCCCAGCTACTTGGGAGGCTGAGGCAGGAGAATTGCTTGAACCCAGGAAGCAGAGGTTGCAGTGAGCTGAGATTGTGCCACTGCACTCCAGCCTGGAGCAACAAAGCAAGACTCCGTCTCAAAAAAAAAGAAATCCTAATTGAGAAAAAAATCCATGTTACATGTCACCCATAATACATGAACCTAATGAGTTGTTTCACTCTTACCCAACAAAAGATCCTAGAAACATCTAATGCTGTGCTTTGGATAGGAACTAGGTTGCTGGCACAAAACTGAAAACACCACATCAAGACATGCTTTAATGAGAATAATATGTCAGCATCTTTCACAAATACAGAATTGTTAGGACTTTCTACTTTTTTGTTAGGTTAATTTGGCAACAGGATTTTTCAAAAAGTAGTTTATGCTTCAAAATGTCTAGATTCTGCCTTCTGCACAAAATTTAGAAAGTTGGAAAGGTCATAAGGCTACCACATTTATAAGAAAACATTTGAATACTCTTCAAAATACAACTTTCCTTGAACCCATTTGGCAGTTGGAGTTACAGTAAAACTATTAACTCAAAATCTAAGTAAATCCAGAAGAACTCAAAGAGTTACAGGATATTAGCTCTTGTGTTCTTGAAGCAGATGGGCATTAATGCCATGCAAGTGAGTAAGGAGTATGCCACTGGAACCTGTAATGAATTGCTAAAGCTGAGTGTGGGCAATCATGAGAGTGTGGAAACTCTGTCAGCCAAAGGCACAGGGGAATTTGCACCCACTCACAAGTTCTCATGCGTAGAACTGCAGACTGGGTGGAGAGTTTTGTGAATCCCTCCCTTATGAGACAGTTTCAGTGGAAATATATGACTGCTACTGCAAGAAAAGTACAATATCCCACGTGCTCCCCTACAGAGCAAAGGCCTTAGGATGCTGGGAAAAGGTAACAAATCTGGTGTCCTTAGGACACAGGTGAAGACCTGAAGCTAGGGCAATGAAATAGAAACAAACGAACAAATACACAAAACAAAACAAACAAACAAAAAACTGTCTTGGAGAATGGGTAGAAATATGTTTTGGACCTGGACCACCAGGAGGGTCTCCTTGCCACTGGGTTGGGACAGAATCACTGAGTAGACCACACCCTTGAGACCCAGGTACACAGCACCTGCTATAATGGAGGCCAAACTAGAACAGAGAACGACACCCTTATCAAACCAGGTAAAAAGCATTGAGAAACAGGGAACAGTAGTCTACTGTTAAGGGAATGGTCAAGAGAATGGAAAGAGATATTCTCTGAGGCACAGAGGAAAATATATGACCTAAAGCCAAGGGTCAGCAGATATCCAGAAAAACACACTCTGCAAGCCAACCATCCTTACAACCACCCCTGCTTCAATCTTAAGGAGATTCTATAGATATTTGAAGCTTATAGTTCAATTAGGGTACTCATAGCAACAGCAATATCCAAACCCAGTTTAGCTCCTAACTAGAGTGACACGACATTCCACAACAAAGGCCTAGCAAAGGCAAAAATGTAACCATTTCCAGGCATAAGTTTTATACTTTTTACCTCAGGCTCCACTATCCTACAAAAGATATCCCAGTTTAATTTTGCTATCAGATTTATATTAATTATCCAACTATGCTAAATAATGTGTGCCCATAAAAACGTGGATGGTATAGTATCCTCCTTTATTTACCTTATTCAGTAAACATATTAGTGATGGCACATTAGCTGATTAAAATGTATTGAGGCAAATTTTTGGTGATGCAATGAGATACGTACATTCTATGAAGTTTTAATGCCAGAAGGTATACTACAGGAGAAATGCTAACCCGTGCTTATTTATGTATATATGTAGGAATTACAATTCTTCATGCAAATTATTTTTACTTAAGACAATAAAAAATTCATATGTATGTAAAATTAAAATAAAAAATAAAGGTCCAGGAACAGTGGTTCACACCTGTAATCCCAGCACTTTGGGAGGCTGAGGAAGGTGGATCACCTGAGGTCAGGAGTTCAAGACCCCCCTGGAGAACATGGCAAAACCTTGTCTCTACTAAAAATACAAAAATTAGTTGGGCATGGTGGCACATGCCTGTAATCCCAGCTACTCTGGAAGCTGAGGCAGAAGAATCCATTGAACTCAGGAGGCTAAGGTTGCAGTGAGCCCAGAACACACCACTGCACTCCAGCCTGGGCAACAAGAGAGAAACTCTCTCTCAAAAAATAAATAAATAGGCCAGATGTGGTGGCTCACACCTGGAATCCCAGCACTTTGGGAGGCCGAGGTGGGTGGATCATGAGGTCAGGAGTTCGAGACCAGCCTGGCCAATATGGTGAAACCCCGTCTCTACTAAAAACACAAAAATTAGCTAGGCAGTGGTGTGTGCCTGTAGTCCCAGGTACTCAGGAGGCTGAGGCAGAAGAATCTCTTGAACCTGGGAGGCAGAAGTTGCAGTGAGCCGAGATTGTGCCACTGCACTCCAGCCTGGGCGACAGAGTGAAGACTCTGTCTCAAAAAATAAATAAATAAATAATAAATACACTTAAAAAATAAAACAACATGGGTCAAATTGCTGGTAGCATTAAAATTCAGAATTCAGAACCCGAACTGAATATAAACATTTTAAAGGTTTTTTTTTTAAACCTTTTAACATGGTCTACCAATTTCTGACTAAATCATTTAGAAAAACATATTAAGAAAATGGACAAATATTCCTGTACATAGATACTAAGAACTAAACTTTAACTATGATTTGGATTCAGTTTATATTGCTATTTACTATAAAATCAATATTGCTTTGATAATTAAATTTTAGGTAACATTATCAAGCTAAAAACAATATTTTTGATCATCAACTTAGAAATGAGACCTTTGACCCACATTCAAATGAACTTTTTCACCTCCCAAATTTGCTGTCTTGGTTTTAACTTTTTACGGCCTTTTCTTTTTTCTTTTTTCTTTTTTTTTTAATTAAATTGGTATATTCGTCTTCTTTGAAGAACATTGTTATGGCTGTCTTTAGTTTTCATATTGGCAAATTTAAATCAGAAGATACAAAAGAAAAACAGAGATGTCCTTCTAGAATTCAGACGGAAGTGATAAAGATATAAAACTAATGAAAGAGCAAATATTAAATAGAAACAGGAGAGATTAAACTATTGATTTATAAGTAAAAATAAAGATGTTGGGAGAGAGGGTTAAGAAGACACGACCCAAATGCCCCACTGAGGTGACATTTATGTTATGACCAGAATGACTTTAGAGAGCCAACCCTATGCAATTCTGGAAACAGTGTCAAAGAGAAGCCACCCCTGGTACAGACACTCACAACTGGAAGTGAATCTGCCAAAAGTGAATAAGGGGCCAGTGTGGCTGTAGAGATTCTGAGGGTGGGGAGCAGGAGCAGAGAGAAGAAGGATCCTGGGCCCTGGGAGATGAGGTTAGCGATCTGCTCTTCTTTGACAACATCACCCCAAAGCTTAGCATTTTAAACAACTACTTAATATTTCACAATTTGTGTGGACCAGAATCAGCACCGCTTAGCTGGGTGCCTTTCCTCAGGGTCTCTGATGAGGCTGGGACTGTGGTCTCAAATGAACCTGGATTGGACGAGCTACCAGGATTCAGTGTGGACTGAATTACTCTCTGCTTGAGTTCCTCCCTGTCTGTTGGCCTAGGCACTCTCTCCGTTCTCCGGCATGTAAGCATCTACACAGGGCACCTTATAACATTGGAGCTCACATCCTCAGTTTGAAAAATACGACAGAGAGGCACAGAGAGAAACAAGAGAGAGAGACAGAGACAAAGACAGAGATTGAGGCAAGAAACATAGGACAGAGCAAGAAGGTGGAAAATGACAGCTCTTTTTGTAATGAAATCTTGGGAATTGCAATAGACAATGTTTTTCTCCCCAAAATGTACATGTGGAAATTTTAACCTTGAATGTAATGGTATTAGGAGATCGGAGTTAATTAGGAACTGAGGGTGGAGGCTTTATAATTAGAATTACTGCATTTATTTAAAAAAAAAAAGAGAGAGAGAGAGAGAGAGAACCCCCCCGCATTGTCTCTGCCAGGTGAGCATACAATCTGAAGTCTGCAGTCTGCAACTCAGAAGAGAGTCTTCACCAGAGCCTGACCGCGCTGCCACCGTGATCTCTAAATTCCAGCTTCTAGAACTGTGAGAAATAAAATTGTGTTGTTTACTAAAATATACATATATATTGCTTTATATGTAAAAATTTTAAACTTTAAATGAAAGGAACTTTTCAACCATTGATGTACACTTATAATGAGGCCACAAAGAAAAACGTACATGTAAGTATACATAACTACATATGTGACATATATATTCAATGTAATGTTATTGTATAATACAGAATATATGTAATAATTATAATAATCATATGTGTTATATATAATCAGTTATATAATTTAAAATATGTAATGTGTAACTAATATACTTATGTATGTAGTTATATAAATAAATTCATGCATTTAAAACAGACTTACATAGCTGACTATATATTGATTGAATATACTATCAATGTGATTATACAGCTTATATAAAATATATAATGTGATTATATAATGTATACATAATTATATAAAATTTTGCATATTTATTATATATTTAATTTGCAAAGACCATGTGAAATTTTCATTTCATGTAACATAGTTTTAATTTTCTTAATTTTTTAAAGTTTAACTTTTTTTGTAGTTGTTGGTTCATCACCTCAGTGTCATATCTACAAAGTCTTTGCCTAACCCATGGTGACTTAATTTTTATTAACTGTGTAAAATCTGGGAAGATTTATTTTTTGCATATGGATGTACAGTTTTTCCAGTGCCATTCATTAGAAACCAATGTATTCTTTCTCGATTGAATAACTTTCACACCTATATTCAAAATATATTGTCTATATAAGTGTGGGTCCATTTCTGGACTCTATTCTGTTCCAAAGATCTATGTCTAGCATTTCTCAAATACTACACTATTTACTGTTTTAGAGTAATTCTTGAAAACTGGTAGAGTTCATCCTCTAGCTTTGTTCTTTTTCAAAATGGCTTTACTTATTTGAATTCCATATATATATATACACACACATACATGTTAGAATCAGTTAGGACATTTCTACCAAAAATTCCTGCTGAGATTTTACTTGTGATAGCCTTGAATTTATAGATCAGTTTCGAGAGATATTACATCATAACAGTATTGAGTCTTTCAATCCATCAACATGGCATATCTTCCGATATATTTAGGCTCTCTGGTTTCTTCATTTAGAAGTTTTCAGCATGCAGATCTTGTTTATATTTTTTAAAAGTTACACCTTAATGTTTCTGTGTTTCATGGTGCTAGTGTAAAATACATTTCTTATATTAAATTTTAATTTTAAGTGTTAATTATAGAAATACGAATGATTTTTGTATATTGATCTTGTATCTTGCAATTTTGCTAAACTCACAGAGTTCTTGTACCATTATTGATAATCATTGAGACTTTTACAACAATGACCACGCTGTCTGATTATAGAGTAAGTTTTATTTCTTCTTCAAAAATGTTTGCGTCTGTTATTTCTTTTCCTTGTTTTATAGCACTGAGACCTCCAAAACAATGTTAAATAGGGGTGATTTGACTAATCATTTTTGCCTTGTTCCTGATCACAGAGGAACCCTACAATCATTCACTATCTTAAGTAATGTTATTTATAGGGTTTTTCTTTGTAGATACTCTTGATCAGGTTGAAAAAGTTACCTTTCTTGTTTGGCTAAATGGATGCTAATTTTTACTTAAAGCTTTTCAGCTTGTATTAAGATGATCAAATTCCTTTTCTTTCTGTTAAACTGGTGAATTTCCTTGATTAGTTTACTAATGTTAGAAAAAGTCTTTCATTTATAGAATAAATTCTACATGATCATATGTATTACATGTATTATTATATATTTATCGTAACCATATGTATTATTATATGTATTATTATACATGGATCATATGTATTATTATAATACATATGGTTGGTTTTATTTTCTAGTATTTTCTTGGGCTTTCATGTGTCTCTGTTCATGAGGATACTAGTCTCTAATTACTTAGTCTGGTTCGATATCTGTGTAAAGCTGACCTCATACAATAAACAGGGAAGTGCTTCCTCCTCTTCTATAATCTTCTTCCTCTTCAGTATTTATAAAGCATTGGCATTATTTCTTTCTTAAATGTTTGTTAGAATTTATCAGTGAAATAATCTGATCATGGGGGCTTCTTTTCAGCTATATATTTAGCTATAAATTATTTTTCATAGATATTATAGTCTAGTAGCTTATTTAGAATGTAAGATCAGATGTCATCATCCAATATAATGTACAAGATAAGAAATTTGAGTTCACTAAATTCTGACTGGAATTTTTTGTTCATCTATATGGTTTAGACTCATTAAAGACGGCATTCACATCTGAGCAACTAGAGTAGTAGTAATAAATTTACCAAGTGTTTGATTAAGTAAATTGATCATCACAATTTAAAGTAAAACTGCATAAGTTAAATTATGCATAGAGATACTGAAAAGATATTTAATAAGACTATGTAACAAATAACATTAATTTTTAATTTCCTACATAAATGAAAGTTATTCAAAATCAAAATTATTGCTTTATTTTATATATATATTATTATATATATTATATTATATATTATATATATTATTTATATATAATATATAATATATATATCATTATATATAATCTATATTATTATATATAATATTATGTATAATATATAATATTATACATAATATTATATATTATAATATAGATTATATATAAATATATAATATATTTATATATAATATATTATATGATATATATATATTTATATATAATATAATATATGATATTATATATAATATATAATCTATATTATAAATAATATATAATATTATATATTATATATATATTATAATATATAAATAATATATAATATAATATAATATATATATTATATATAATATCATATATATTATTTATATATATATACATTCAATTTTATGGATGTAAATTTACATAGCTTTGCTTTTTCCTGGGCAACTACCATTTATTGTGAGGTGAAAGTTACCTAAAATGTAAAACGTAAGAAAGGTTAACCATAAGTTAAATATTTTCTATTAAAAAAAGGAAAAGTCAAATAAATACTAGGCAGGTAATTTAGTTCAGGTAAACAGAGTAGGTTAATAATACCATTATCAATGCAGTTAAAATATTTTGGTAGATCAGTTTTGCTTCAAGATAAAACAGAAACACCTTGATTTCAGCCTTGGAGTCTGATTTTATTAAGAGTCGTAAAATAAGAAGAGAGGCAACTTCTATAAATTCTTGTTTAAATCACACTTTTCTTTCTTTACAATTTGCCACATACTTGTCATATTAATGACACCACAAAGCCCCTCAAAAACGGCAAATATGTCTTAAATGCATCCCTTATGTCTCTAAATTAGAATAAATATTTAATTAAGTAAATTGAAGTGAGAAAGTCAATTTTTTTTTTTAGTTTTCAAATATTTTATAGAGTAAGTGCAATTTTTGTCACAAATACATTATAATTTCCAAGAGACCTTCAGTTCTGAAAGCTAATTGCTATGAGATAGATTTTGTACTTTAAATTTATTTATTCATCAATATTTAGCAACTTTTTATCAGACATTGTTTTAGGCACAAATGATAAATAGCAAAAATGACAATACTTTGCTTTACACAATTAAGTGGAGAAGACAGCGAGACAAACAGTGGTTAAAATACAGTAATATTTAACTCTAATATCCTAAAGACTTAGTACATAAACATCTCAAATCCAATTATTTCCACCTCTCACTCTGCTTTGTTTATGTTATTTTCAATTTATTTTGTTTTTGGTTACAGACTTTAATAAGTACAAAGGAATTTGTTGGAAACCAAAAGAGTTCGCATCCTCGTTTCTTTTTTTTTTTTTTTTTTTCTGGGATCCCTTTTATTATACTTTAAGTTCTGGGGTATATGTGCAGAATGTGCTGTTTTGTTACATAGGTATACACGTGCCATGGTGGTTTGCTGAACCCATCAACCTGTCACCTACATTAGGTATTTCTCCTAATGCTATCCCTCCCCTAGCCCCTTACCCCACAACAGGCCATGGTGTGTGATGTTCCCCTCCCTCTGTCCATGTGTTCTCATTGTTCAACTCCCACTTATGAGTAAGAATATGTGGTGTTTGGTTTTCTGTTCTTGTGTTAGTTTGCTGAGAATGATGGTTTCCAGCTTCATCCATGTCCCTGCAAAGGACATGAACTTATCCTTTTTTTACGGCTGCATAGTATTCCATTGTGTATATGTGCCACATTTTCTTTATCCAGTCTATCATTGATGAACATTTGGGTTGGTTCCAAGTCTTTGCTATTGTGAATAGTGCTGCAATTTGACCCAGCAATCTCATTACTGGGTATATACCCAAAGGATTATAAATCATCCTACCATAAAGACACATGCATATGTATGTTTATTGCATCCTCATTTCTAATACTAAAAATAAATCAACATAAGTAATTATTGTATGTTTATTTAAATTTTATCTTTGTGTAAATAGTTTATTGATTTTAAGCCACAAATTCAGTTCTTCCTATCCTGAGATTGTATTTTCTTGTCTTTTGATACATTTGATAATGTATTTAAATATAACACATTTGATAATGTATTTTAAAAAGTAAAGTGCATTAAGATCAAATAAGATTGGGTCTGATTATCGCTGGCAGTCACAGTGCTTTCCAGAATGAAAGTCTTTGCTTTTGCAGATGGTTATTGATTTTTGCATTGATTTTTTTATTTTGATACTTTATCCTCTTAATTTCTGAGATCTGATGCTCTGTATGAATAAGTAAGAAAAAACAGATGCTTCTTATTTTCTCCTTATTTTATACTTGTACAATAATTGTAACAGAATAAGATCATGGGGTTTTGTGTTTGAAGTTTTGCCTGTTTTTGTTTTTTTTTCTGTAAGTTCATATTTTATTCCCTCAAGTTATTGTAATTGAAGTATTTCTTTAAGATAATAAACATGAAATAGCCTGTAATTCACTATATGATTTTTATGTTTTTAACTTTTTATCATGTTTTCATTTCTCATAGTGAATGGCATGCCTGAAACATGTAAATTGGTAAATGTTAGACAGAGTTACTTAGTAAACCTGAACGAAACAAACCTTCCTAAAATCTGCCAATGTTAGGAAGGTTACCATATCAAATCAGTGAGGGGAAATTTATTTCTCTTACTTAGCTTAAAATATTTGGACAGGCTGCTATAATAAGAAATGTAAATTTAAAATTTTAGAAGTAATTTCACTTGAAACTTCAATAGATTTACAAGAATTATATTTCATATAGCACAGCACTGATATTTAAAGTCTGAACTCCTTAAAGATCAAGTCTAATGCCCTCACTATAATGAAGACTTTTCTGAACTCCTCCACCCCACTTGATTCACCCTAGCTAACAGCCATTTTATCCCTGAAACCCCATTATGGTACATTAGATTCCTCTTATCTCCCTTTTCTTGTTTTATAAATATTTGTGTATATTTGCCAACCATCTTAATAACACTCTTTCAGTGTTCCAAACATCACTCAATGTGTTAGCAAGTAATCTTTCTTGTTTACATATGATTACCTCAGTGAATAACAAAAAGAACTTATAGTTTACTTACATATAAACAACATCATAAAATAGATTAACATTTGAAATGAGTGTATGAGAAAAGCAGGAGAGAGAGAAAAAAAGAAAGATGATAGAAAACATGAAATATGATTAGAAGAAACCAGAATTAATGATAACACAAATATTGATGATGTAATTTCCTCAATATTCGAACAGATCATAACAAATTTTATTTTATGCTCTCTAGTAGTCTCTGCCAAATGAGTCAGACTTAGTTACGTAATTTCCAGTGTTCATAAATAAAATCAAACCAGTTGTCCACAAAGCTCACATCAGTTTCTTATATTGAGAGTGTGAATATATTTATCTCACGGGTCTTGGTGTATAGGGTACAGGAAAGTAAAGGATATCACCTCACCTTGTTACAGTGTCTAAGGCAGTAAGTTTCATCCATTTGTCCTCTCAATATAGACCCAAACAAAAATGGGTCAGATATGGTTGGCTGTGTCCCCACCCAAACCTCACATTGAATTGTGATAATGCCCATGTATCAAGGTCAGGGCCTGGTGGAGATAATTGAATCATGGAGGCGGTTTCCACCATACTGTTCTCATGGTAGTGAATAAGTCTCATGAGATCTGATGGTTTGATAAATGGAATTTCCCCTGCACAAGCTCTCTTTCTGTCACCACATAAGACATGACTTTGCTCCTCATTTGCCTTCTGCCATGATTGTGAGGCCTCCCCAGCCATGTGGAACTGTGAGCCATTAAACCTCTTACCTTTATAAATTACTGTATCTCAGGGTATGTCTTTGTTAGCAGTGTGAGGACAGATTAATAAAGGGTCTATTCAGGGAGGTAGTTCAGTATAATCAATTTTATAGTCAAAACCATGGCATTTTATGATTAAATTTCTGCTTATCTTGCTTAATCCAAGTATAGATAGTAGAATGCTTAACCTTCCCGTTTTCAATTTTTTATTCTCCTACACATTCTCCTGTATACTGGCACCATAAACTACCTTCATATTCCAATCTAGACTTCTAGACATCAGCAGATGAAAAAAATTCTAAGCAATTACAAATTGAGCTACTCAATGCTACCTAACAACTGTGGAGTAATCTTTGTGAAACTACTATATTTGAATATTTTCTTGAATTTTTCTCATACTTTTACAATGGAAAAAAAAGAGCAAGTTTTAATATCAGTGATCACAAAGTAGTGGTTTCATATAGTTAGGACATTTAATTGGGATAGTCCAATTAGGACTATTTGGAAAAAAAAAAAAGATATCCTTAGGTGTGATTAAAGCTGAAAAAATTTTCCTCAATCTAAGGCTCAATGAATTTAAGTAAACTAATAATGATATCAACTGTGAAAAAACTATGCGTGAAATCCCAGAAATACATATTATGGTATTAAAAAAGAAAGATACAATTTGGGATCATTTAATATGTTTTAAATCTCTGGAAACATAAAAGGTTAAAACCAGAAGACTAACTCTATTACTCATTATCAGGACTACATTGTGTTTCTTGCTCTCTGGTCTCCAAAGTGAAAGATGAATAAATTTGAGTAGCAACAATTCAACTGTATACCCAAGGAGGTTCAGTGTGTGTGTGTGTGAGCGCGTGCGCGCAAGTACTTGAGATATAAATGTAAATATTATCCATTATCCTTTCCATCTTATTTTCTCCTTCCTTAAAAAAGGTATTTTTGAAAAACAGAAAAAAAGAATACTAGAAAAGAAATTTATGAGAATGTATATATTAAGTTTATGAGACGAGGAAAATTATTAAAATAATATATTAAGACAAGTATCTTCAATATCAGAAAAAGTAATATTGAGAATTTGGATTACACTTGAAAGTAGTTAAAGATATTAAGAGACATGGTATAACTAAAATAATAATAATAAATGATGAGTCCATCCTAGCTTTTTGGTGGTTTAAAATATATTTAGGTGTACAGTATAAACGTAAAATTATTTGTGCAATTTTAGAGCAAAAATTACTAGTGAATAAAGCATTTGATTATAACGATCCTTATAATAGTCACATCTTGAATGCACAACTTGTCTTAAAGGGAAAGCATCTGATATGACTATCTCTAATCGTAATCAATTGCTGATTAATAATCTATAAGAAAATGAAATCATCTGCATCAGATAAAACTTTCTGTCATGAACTGGCAATAAAAAACTTATAAATATATTTTCTTTTTCTTTTCTTTTTTTTTTTTTTATTTTTGAGACGGAGTCTCGCTCTGTCGCCCAGGTTGGAGTGCAGTGGTGTGATCTCGGCTCACTGCAAGTTTCGCCTCCTGGGTTCACGCCATTCTCCTGCCTCAGTCTCCTGAGTAGCTGGGACTACAGGCGCCCGCCACCAAGCGCAGTTAACTTTTTGTATTTTTAGTAGAGACGGGGTTTCACCGTGTTAACCAGGATGGGCTCGATCTCCTGACCTCGTGATCCGCCCGCCTCTGCCTCCCAAAGTGCTAGGATTACAGGCATGAGCCACCGCGCCCAGCCTATAAATATATTTTCAGTTATAACTTAAGGTGATGAAAAACATTACATTTTCTTTTATCTACAATTTATCTTTACTTTTGTTTTTTACTTTATATTCTTTACCCAGGATATTTTTAGAAAGTGTACATTACCAGAAAATAAAGACACTTTACTGCTTCTCAAGGATTGTTTATACCAAATGGATAAAGTATTTGGGAAAGAAAAATTCCATTAGAAAAGATGTAGCTAGCTGATTCATAAATGAAGCATTTCTTTTTACCAGTATATTAGCTAAAATGAAATTAGATTTATATTTGTGTTTTTCAGCTAGGATTTCATGGAAACAACATTTGCCTTTTAAAAGTGGAATTTTTTTTCATAATTGTGAAGGGAATATTGAGCATGTCTTAAAAGAACAGCAAAAATAATACGGTTTACTGAATTTAAAATTACTTTAGACCTCTGTATTTTCTTAAAATCCTACCCCTCAGAGAATTTTTTCTTTAATTGTTGTATGTATGCTGAAAACTACTAAATTTGTTTTTCTAATTCTTTTTCTTATCAAAACTACTATGTCCCAAACTTTCTATTGTACTTTTTGTCTAGTATCATCTTCTTACCTAAGCTACAATATGCCTAACAAAATGCCACACATTTTTACTTGAATGTGCTTCTATGCTTCAAAGTCGACAGTTCTGAAACCAAATTCAGTATTCTTTTTCTCAACTTGCTCCTAAAATGTTTCAAGACCTTTTTAGTGCCACTATTTCTAAAGTAACCATCCTCAATAGCTATCTAACATCTTTCATTAGATAGGCGAATTCATGTCAGATCTTGCACGAAGCTTCTGATCATCTCAGCTCTTAAGCTTTTCCCCTTCTCAGAATTTCTATAGATTTTTAGAAATACATTTAATACTAGGTAATTCTGTTTTGTTCCCTAATGGTTTTATGTATGTGGACTTAGCTATGAACATTATGTACTAAATGTCTTACCTAAATAACTTTTAATCTTAACAAAATTATGTTAAGTATAACCCATAATTCCCATTTTACAGACAGTTTGATGAGACTGAGAATAATAATATGTCTATTTCAAAGTTACACAGAACTTTGGTTTAATTCTACTCTGATGTATAATTTGTAAAATTTTCTATAATCATGTTTTCTCCTAATATATCATGGAATGTTTTATTTTTCCTTAAACTGTACCCAACTCTGAAAATAAAGCAGATAATGAATGGCTGTTGGTAGATTAGTAAAGAAAATCAGTCTTGCAAAAAAGAAGCTCTTCCTTTTTATTGCTGTTGTTGTTTGTTTTGTTTTGTTGTTGTTGTTGTTTGAGACAGAGTGTTGCTCTATCACCCAGGCTGGAGTGCAGTGGCAGGATATCGGCTCACTGCAACCTCTGCCTCCCAGGTGCAAGCGATTCTCCTCACCCTCCCGAGTAGCTGGGATTACAGGTGCCCACCATCATGCCCAGGTAATTTTTGTATTTTTAGTAGAGATGGGGTTTCTCCATGTTGGCCAGGCTAGTCTCGAACTCCTGACCTCAAACGGTCCACCTGCTTTGGTCTCCCAAAATGCTAGGATTACAGGTATGAGCCACCACGCCTGACCCTCAAAACTATTCTATTTGATGATAAATAAAGCAACACCATTCTGAGGGAATAATAAAATCATTGTCTATATTTGAATATATTCTAGGTTATTTATAGACACAATTAAAACCCACTGAATCATAGATAATAAACACAAAGTAATAAAACATAAAATCAAAAGGCTGACTGCCAAATGTTACCATAAGAAAAGATAAGACAAAATATTTAAGGTGTTAAAAAGGACATCTTTGATTAGTTTTAAATTTTGTATAATGCCTCTTGTATATTATTACTAGTTAATGTTGTTATTGTAGTGAAGCATCAAGCTCAGGAAACACTGAAGTTTGTTCAAGATATTCTCTTTTATCTTCAACAGAGATTGGCTAAATGAAAATCATAGTTATAAAATCTCAAAAATCTTTCCTATTAATGGAAAGATCCCAGACATGGGAAACAAGGACCGTCTCTCACGATAAAAGGGAGCATAGAGTCTTTCCTTGCTCTCAGCAGCAACATTAACTGCCAGAGATAATTCACTGGGAAGCAGCGAAGTTGTGGGTCCAGCAGTGCTAATAGACTCCTAAGAAGATCATTCTCAGGGCATTATCATAGCTGTGTCTGGCACTACCTAGCATCTTTTGGTTTCTACCCATTTTCTGAATGTTTTGTTGATACTAAGAGATGAAGTCTGGTCCCTGGTTAAAAAAAAAAAAAAAAAAGCCATGCAAAACTTAGGTTTATGATCTCAGTGAGCATCCATATCTCCTGAACATAAACAATAAAGGAAACAAAGAATTACTAGAACATCTCCTCAATATATTGGAGAATGAAAAATTATTCAGTTCCCATAATGATGTTCAAAACACACTCTAATTTCTGAGTCTCTTTAGAATTTTAAAATGTCACACAATTTGTTTATCATGTAACAATATATATTTATTTTAAATTAGTGATATCCACATAGGGAAACAGTCCTTTACACAACATGTAGTTAAACAGAACATTCTGTCCTTGGCAATTTCCAGTGACTGCCTCCAGTCCCCTGGGCAACCATGGTGTCTAATAACTCACCTAGAGCAATTAAGCCACAATCCAGATGAAGGGCCATGAAAAGGTTTAGCTTTTAACCTCCCAGTTCATCAGGAACTCAGAGCAGCATCAGTTAACACAAATATACCTCCATTGAGGAGGAAGCTTACAAATAAGAAATTCTATACGCCTGTATCAATCAGCAGTTCAGGGGGATTAGCAGTTCCATAAACAGCTCATTTCACATCATTGCCATTTCCCTTCAGTCTGCTTCTCAATCCCCTGCCTCACTTCATTTTTTCCACTTCTACTTGTTAGTCAAGGTGTTTATTTAAAAAATATATTTGATATAAAGCTTATTTTCCTTAACCTTGGAATATAGACAGAAATTTACAAGTTTGTCTCTGGAGCTGCATCACAGTTTTATTTGAGAAGAACTATAGACTAATGTGACCTAATTATGTTTGTGGTTCTAAAGTGCCTGTACTTCATAACCAATTAAAGGAAGAATGCTAAAATCATGCAACTTTAAAACTGAGTCTATTGATAAGAATTGTATTTCCTAATATTAAGTTGAAGTTGAAGAAATATAATAGTTAAAACGTAAGATAACAGCATGCTAACAATTGACACTGTGAAGTAATGATCAGTTTATTTGGTTGTATCCGCAATTAGAATCTAGTTGTTTATTTACCTAATTTTTAATCAGTTAGCATCTATATGTAAGCATGGGCCGTGTGTGTGTAGCTTAGTATCTGTGCTACTCCTCAATAACAGAGATCATTATATAAACATTTTTAAATTGATGAAATTCTTATTCAACAGGACTATCACATTCATAAACGTGCGAATTTGTAAGTGTTTAATGTGAAAATTCAATTGAACTTTTTCTTTAGATATAAAGGAAAACAAAATCTAAAATCAAAAATTTTTTAAAATGTCTTTTTATGTTAATTTTGTCAGCCTACAAAAACAACTTTTTCATTCTGCTTTATTGGTATGATAATGATATTTTGAGAAGTCTGCGACTCCAGGCACATAATAGAAGAAATAATGTTCTACTATTTGTTATACTCACTTGATTTTGAACTATTATTCAGTAGTTTTATTTCATTCCTGAAAATTAAAACAGTTTTCTGTTTCAGTCTTGCTAAATGAGAAAAAACAAAAAGGTAGAACAAAAGAGAAAAAGCAAAACAAACAAAAGGAAAGAAAAGAAAATGAAGAAAAATAGACAATATATTTAGATGTGTCTTCTTATCTAATTAAATGATGCTCCCATCAAATTATTTAAACCAATGAAATATTCAAATAATTATCTATCTCTCCCCCAAATCCTTAAGGGATTATATTCTGCATATTTAAAGTATGAAGCTCTCTATTGCTCTCCAATTGCAGATAATTAATTGGCTGAAATTATATTCAAGTACCTACTACAACTTTCTTTTGAAAACATTTACTTTGCTTGAAAAGCAAACATCTGATTTTGATCAGCTGTAATTATCATCTTACAAGAGGATTAAGATTAATGAATGACTATACAGTCTTTTATGTCATTAACTTGTTGATTCCATGTAGGATACTTCAGAGAATGTGATTCAATATTATTGGGAATTTCTCATAAACACAATTTTTACATAGAAATCAAAAGCTATTAATGAAGAAGAAAATTAGAAGATAAAAAGAGTAATTGCAAGGACAAGTCTCACTGAACTTAAAGTTTACAAAGTGCATATTTAAATGATAGAAATAAAGAGTAAAAACAAAAACACATAGATGAGTCACATGAGTTTTTAAGATAACTATGTGAACTCATAATGTTCTAAATTAGAAGTTTGTGAAAATTACTAAGACCCATAAACCACATTTAGACTGAAAAATGAATAAAGTATTACTCTTTTTGACAAATGGTAAAATAATATTATATGTAATATTATATGACAGACACTACTTTATTCCTTTTGTAGGGGATTATCTTCTCTGGCAAATAAAATAACTTTCTCACTAAAACAGTACGGTGGAAGAATAAATCTCAAGAAAGCTGAAGATATACAAGAGTGCCTGGCTTCTATAGTATGGGATTAAATCTCATGTTCTGGATCAGCTGTACCTCAGATTACTTCAAAATTATAGAAAAAATGCTAATTTTTCATTGTTGTAGAAAGATAAAGAGATGGAGCTATCAAAATGAGCAAATATTTCTTGTTTCAAAGAAAGAACTAAAACTGAATCTATGAATCAAATACTATTGACTTTGCATATTGATCCAGCTTAAAATTTTGTAACTGTTTAGGAGCATTTCAGTGATTTTTTGTTCAAACTGATTTAATGAGGAAAAAATCTGGAATATATTATTTTGAGAACATTAAAATAATTTGTGATAATTTGATATCAGAAAAGTATCTTTGTTGGATTCATCAAGCCATTTATGAATAATATCAATTCCATTTGAACAACGTTTTTAAGTGGGTTGAGTGAGAGAACCAGGAAGAATTCAAGTGTTCACATATAAGCAATTAAAAATGTATCTGGCGATAATTTTATGGGCGATATGAAAGGTATAATATGTGACAATAAAATTAGGGATTCCATAACCATTAGAAGTGCTATACTTAAAGTAAGTGAGTTTCTAAGCTCACGCCAGCCTGAAAGGTACTATAATGAAATTTATAAATAGCATGAAATTGTGATTTCATAAATACATTTTATATAAAACGATCCAAATAATAATTGTGTACTTCAGACAGAAAGTGTAATAAAATTTGACAATATCTTCTGTATCTATTCTGCTTTTTGCACTAAAGCCCTTTTATCCTTCTTGTTTAACTCAGATATGCATCACTTCCTGCCTGCATTCTTACAGACTCATAACTGGTCTCTCTGATCTTGTCAGCTGACTCCTCTCCATTTCCCTTGATACTGAAATGATTTTTCCAAGATTTACTACAGCAAATAAGCACATGATAAGATGCTTGACATCAGTGGTCATTAAAAAGCTGCAAATTAAAGCTACCATGAGATACTAATACAAACCTTTTAGAATGTGTAAAATTAAAAACAAAACTCACTATATCTGGTGATAGTAAGGATGTGGAATAATTGAACCCAAGTACAATCACTTGGGGAAATAGTTTAGAATTTTTAAAAAGTTTAAACATACAAGTACCATGTTACCAAGCCATTCTACTCCTAGATAATTACCCAAAGGAAATGAAAGCATAGATCTCTATAAATACTTGTAAATAAATATTTGTACCAGTTTTGTTTGTAGTAGCTAAATACTAGAAACAACCTAAATATCCATCAACAAGTGACTTGATAACACATTGTGTTATATCCATACAATGGAATACATCTTAATGAAAAAAAGAAGAAGAAAAAACTGAATGAACTCTGAATTGACTTGTAAGGATCAAAATACACCATGCTAAAATATGCCATGTTGGCATAACGATTATTTTAAGCTGGAGGCAAATGAGAGTCAGCAGATACAGAAAAAAGTTTTCTCAGAGCTTCTCTTATCTGACTAAAATCAGAAAATTCTGAAAAATGAGGACTGCCATAAATATCCTAGCTCAGGGAAGTTCTATGGCCATACAGCAGAAAGTCAGTGCCGTATGGACTTTCACAGAAAATCTAATTAGTTTCCATTCTACCTCCCCATATATTACTATTTACCATCCCACAGTTTATTGCCCTTGAAATCATAAACTTCCTTTTCTCTAAAAACTTACCATTCTTTTGTTAAGTTGGTATGTAAGGCCAAGTTCCAGCCAATCCTTTCAATTACTCATCTTTTAATGCTACCATAATGCAGGTCAATTTTTTTTTGTTTTTCTCCTGTCAATCTGTCCTTTCTTAATCAAATTTACAGGGCCCCCAGTGAAGAACTTAAAAATCAATAGAGAAAACAGAATTTTTCCTTCCCAATACATTCACAGCATGGATTAAACAAAAATGAATATATAGAGTATGGTTCAATTTATATAAAATACTAGAAAATGAAAACTAGTCTTTAGTGACAGAAAGTAGATCATTTTTTTGCTAGAGCAAAGGGTGCTAAGGAGAAGGGTAAGAGAAAGAGTGAAAGATTATAGAAGTATATAAGGAAATTTTGGGGTGATAGGAGTATTCTTTTTTTGGTTGTGGTGATATATTCATGGGTATATGTATACATCAAAACTTAATAAATTGTATAATAAATATATTGTCCGTTACATGTAAGTTATATCTACATAAGTCTGCTAAAAGTAAAATAAAAAGAAGAAACAGTAATAAAAGCCAGCCCTCTAAATTGCAAATCCATGGGAAATTTGAGACTTTCAACATGCTGTTATAAAAAACGAAAATAAACATTATCCAGGACATTATCACCACAGTTAAACACTGTTAATTAGACCTACTAATGTAAGCAGTTAGATAGAAGAAAGAAAACAAAGTTATTAGCATGGGAAAAGCTTCTACTGAGATTTTAACTGTAGATAAAATGAATATATACATGAAAAATACAAGGAAATCAAGGAAAACACGTAGAAACAAAAAAATTAATAGTGATAGTTGACTATAATGCTAATAAAATATTAACAGTAATTTTAGAAAGTATAATGGGAATATAAATTCCTATAAATATTTAGAAAAGATTCTTCATTAAAAAACCAAATTTAAAATAAAGTGACGTAACATGTAGGACCTAACTTAAGAAAACTTTAGTACTATTCTCAAAGACATATAAGAAAACACGAATATGATAGTCTTTTATGGTGGTAAATTTTATTAAATATATATCTTTAATATACACTATATAACCTGAATAAGCTAAGCTACCTTGGTGCTGGCAGCAGCATAGAGTTGTATTTAATACACACACACATACATATTCACATAATCATACACACAATCATATATATATATATATATACACACACAATTACACATACACAAACACACTGAGAATTCCAACTTCAGAACTTTTGAAGATTGAGAGATTAATGAGAATTATTTTCCTCAACACACACAAAATATTCTAAAAATACGATTTAACCATTTATTCTCCATATCACAAAACAGCTGTTTCCACTCACCACCTGGTCCCATTCTCTTTTCTAGGTCTGCATCCAAATACCAATCTGCTCTTTGGAACACCTCTTCAGTTGTCAAACCACTTTTGCTCGAAGACTGACCCAATTCACTTTGTCTGTCAAATTTACCTGCGCTAAATCCAGATTCCAGAGAACTTGAAACTGCTAGTAAGAATGGGGTGCCCAGAAATCTCTCAGAATTATAATCCCTCCTCATCCAGGAGTATATGTTTTTTGTTTTGTTTTGTGTGTATGTGTGCGGTGAGTTTGGAATACTGTAGTCTAATTTTTATTCCAGTACATACATCTTACAAAAGTGTAAAGGCACAAGTTAAATAACATAAAAAATTAGATAAAAATAAAAAATATTTACAATACATATATGATGCAATATTTTATTCACATTAAAAAATATAACAAAATGTAATGTTAGACAATATTGTACATTGTGTAAATTGTACAGCATACTTATGTTTTTATTATGTCAAACAACGCTAAGCCAAAGGAAACTAAAACTACTCAACAAAACACATAAACAACATAAAACTAAAACAAATAGGTGCAGATAAGGAATATGGAGTGTTCACTTAATATTTGTTTTCCTGGCTACTGTAGGCCATTAGATAGTCGTCTGTGTCATGATCAAATGCATCTGTTTCTAGGCTTCCAAAGTTCTGGGAGGTCATGGGTTCTCATATATTTTATCCCATGATTAAAGACACTCTCAAGAGTTGGAAAACTAGTGAATAGTTGGTAATACTGTTTGTAAATCTTGCCAAGCTGGAGGCAGATTCGGAAAAACACAAAAGGTCCTACTAGGACTTAGGTTCTGGCCTTCAAGAAGGCCCCGTAACTGGGAGTGATTAACACAGGAACAGAAAGCCAAATATCACTTGTTCTCACTTAAAAGTGGAGCTAAATATTGAACACACATAGACATAAACATGGGAACAATAGACACTGCAGTCTCCTAGAAGGGGGAGGGAGGGAGAGAGATGTGGGTCAAAACAACTACCTATTAGGTACTATGCTCACTACCTGTGTGATGGGATCTGTTCCCTAAACCTCAGCATTATGCAATATTCCCATGTAACAAACCTGCACATGTACCCCCTGCATCTGAAACAAAAGTTGGAATTTTAAAAATTAGAAAACAAAAAGGAGAAAAATAAGTGGCTACCATGGCAATATTCAGGAAGCACAATCAAATTTTAATTTCATAGTAGAGTTGTCAGGGTTACTCTGGGGAACCAAGTAACATAGATATCATTGAGTTCCTTGATATCAGATTCCCAAAAATCACAATTCTAGCAAATAGGAATAAGTGAATATGATATTCTAATACAAAAATTATACTTTGTTTCTATATCAAAAGACTCAATGTTATAAAGATACTGATTCTTTCTGAATTAACCAGAAAAATCAATATAATCCCGTTTAAACAAATTTTTAAGCTGGTAAAATGATACCAAAATGTAACACTGAGATTTTCTGGTGTTTCCACAGCCACGCTCTATTATGTAGGTAGAAATTTGGGGAATGTTAATATTTCTTCAAAGCCTGTAATATTACTAAACTCAGAATACAAAACAACATAGATCAAAGTATAATGCTGAATAAGAAATAACAGATATATATTCTAAACCTTCCTTTAAGTTACCATATGTGTTATCTAAGACTTCCTTTAATTTTCCATAGGTTTAAGTAAAATGATACAGATATGATATGAACAAGGCACATGTTCGCCTGTTATAGCATTCTTTTCATCTGATAACTTTGAATTGCAGCTAAAAATCAGTTTATTATTATCAGAAAGTTTAACTTAACACTGTATTGAAATACAATAATTTGCATTTGATACATATCTTCCAATGTCAATGCATTCAACTACTTGAGGAAATATTTTGCTGCTACCCTCTCTTTGTAAAAATTAAATAGCAATAACATATTTTCAAGGGGTAATTTATATTTGAAATGAAATAAATACAAATGCATACAAATTCTGATTCAAAACCATTTTTTACTACTTTAAAATGCAGAATTCTACTACATTAGCTCAATATGATTACAATTATTGGAGCACTGTGGTGGTGTCATAGTTCAACTAAATGGACAGAAACTACAAATCCTCTTCTGTGCAGAAGTAGAATACTCCCCAGGTAGGATATCTCTTAATTTTTAAATGTGCTCCACTTCATTAACATATGTAGTGTTTTATTTATAACAAACAAGATAGATGATTATATTTCCAAGCAATTACTTGAGAATTCAAGTATAAACTGAAATCCAGAACTTTTAGGAAGTTCATTTTTAAGAATATTTACTGACCCCCTACTTTGTTTTAGACAATTTGCTAAAGACTTACATGAATCATTTAATGAAAATTTCACAGCATCCTCTGGGTTTAGGCTCTATTGTTGTCTCCAGATTACAGAAACCAATTTTATATTAGAGATATTAAGAAGTTATGTATATAATTTGTTATATATATATTACCCTGATCTTCTATGCTTGCTTCCTGTATTAGCTGGATCAGTGGTCCTCAAATATCTTACTTTCAGGACTTCACTATGCTCTTAAAAGGTAGTGAGGTACCTAAAGAGGTTTTATTTATGTGGATATTATAAATCAATATTTACCATATTTCACATTAAAATGAGAATTTAAAATATTATGTCATTTAAAAGCATTGATAATAGCCCATCACACATTAAAATAAATATTTTCTGGAAAAATGTTTTCAAAAAAATTTAAAAATGAGGAAAATTTTATTGCTTTGCATTTTGGCAAATCTCTTTAATATTTGGCTTACTAAACAATAGCTGGATTCTCATATTTATTCCTGTTATTAATTTATTACATTACACATTGTATATACTTATGAAAAATTGAGAATAAAAAAAGCAAATAATATCTTTGTATTATTATGAAAACAGTTTTGAACTGAGGAGTTCCTGATTGGTTCTTGAGACCCTAAAAATCCCTCAACCACACTTGCAGAACCACTGTGCTAGGGCATCAGAAGTACCTAGGATACACCTGGGTACATCAACCTGTTACAGATAATTTTAATTTATTCCATAGTTATAAACAGACATTTAAAAATATCCCATAAAATTTTTATGAACATGTAAGAGATAATAATAAGTTAAACAAAATTCTGACAGTTCTTCACAAATTGCAATCTATTAATAAAAGCAGTTATTTTTCATAACATTTTATTAGTAGTAGTAGTATAGTATTCTTACCTTGTAACCTAGTATGATCACAAAACATGGTTTTAGGAAGAGAGCAAAAGGAAGCTATTGATTGATGAATGTATATATTGCATTTCTTCTTTCATTTGGCAAACAGCCGCTATGTACAAAGCCTGATGCTAGGTGGCAAGGATTAAATAGAATTGAATCTGTTCAAAAATATTAAGAAATGCTTTCCAGAAAGTTAGAAAGAATAAATTATAGCTGAATAACCAAAATTGCCTGGTAGAATCAGAGGTAGGTTTTGCAAACTGATGCTGGAGAGCTTAATGTCAAAACAGAGATATAGATCTATGGAACAGAACAGAGCCCTCAGAAATAACGCCACATATCTACAACTATCTGATCTTTGACAAAACTGAGAAAAACAAGCAATGGGGAAAGGATTCCCTATTTAATAAATGGTGCTGGGAAAACTGGCTAGCCATATGTAGAAAGCTGAAACTGGATCCCTTCCTTATACCTTATACAAAAATCAATTCAAGATTGATTAAAGGCTTAAACGTTAGACCTAAAACCATAAAAAACCTAGAAGAAAACCTAGGCAATACCATTCAGGACATAGGCATGGGCAAGGACTTCATGTCTAAAACACCAAAAGCAATGGCAACAAAAGACAAAATTGACAAATGGGATCTAATTAAACTGAAGAGCTTCTGCACAGCAAAAGAAACTACCATCAGAGTGAACAGGCAACCTACAGAATGGGAGAAAATTTTTGCAACCTACTCATCTGACAAAGGGCTAATATCCAGAATCTACAATGAGCTCAAACAAATTTACAAGAAAAAAACAAACAACCCCATCAAAAAGTGGGCGAAGGACATGAACAGACACTTCTCAAAAGAAGACATTTATGCAGCCAAAAAACACATGAAAAAATGCTCACCATCACTGGCCATCAGAGAAATGCAAATCAAAACCACTATGAGATACCATCTCACACCATTTAGAATGGCAATCATTAAAAAGTCAGGAAACAACAGGTGCTGGAGAGGATGTGGAGAAATAGGAACACTTTTACACTGTTGGTGGGACTGTAAACTAGTTCAACCATTGTGGAAGTCAGTGTGGCGATTCCTCAGGGATCTAGAACTGGAAATACCATTTGACCCAGCCATCCCATTACTGGGTATATACCCAAAGGACTATAAATCATGCTGCTATAAAGACACATGCACACGTATGTTTATTGCGGCATTATTCACAATAGCAAAGACTTGGAACCAACCCAAATGTCCAACAATGATAGACTGGATTAAGAAAATGTGGCACATATACACCATGGAATACTATGCAGCCGTAAAAAATGATGAGTTCATGTCCTTTGTAGGGACATGGGTGAAATTGGAAATCATCATTCTCAGTAAACTATCGCAAGAACAAAAAAACAGACACCGCATATTCTCACTCATAGGTGGGAATTGAACAATGAGATCACATGGACACAGGAAGGGGAACATCACACTCTGGGGACTGTTGTGGGGCGGGGGGAGGGGGGAGGGATAGCATTGGGAGATATACCTAATGCTAGATGACAAGTTAGTGGGTGCAGTGCACCAGCATGGCACATGTATACATATGTAACCTGCACAATGTGTACATGTACCCTAAAACTTAAAGTATAATAATAAAAAAAAAGAAAATAAGCTTACTAGTGAAGTTTTCAAAGTTTTAATACTAGTTAGTAAAATATTTCTAAGTTATCTTATTGTGATGAGAGAAATTTCTGTATGATACCAAGCTGTTAAAAAGTGAAATATTATGCTAGTTAGTAAACGATGCCTTTCTCATAGTAACCAACAGACTTGGCAAAACTTTTCACTGATGGTAGAGTAAGTAATGAACGTGGACCATGCTTTAGATAGGAAGAAGGAAGTTACTTCCTTTTCTGTTCTTTAATAATAAAGGAATGGAAACTCTAAAGAAAATTATTGCATTAAGCCTAAAACCTAAAGTCTAACCTAACTACACTTATTTAATTACAATTAGCAGCATATTGTTTATAAGAATGAAATATTTTAATAAGGTAATGTGTCTTCAACCTTGTTTATTTGATTGTATATGAAAAACAATCAAATATTGACCATTATAATTCAGAAAATTATATATGCCTAAGAGAAAAAAACATAATTGTCTTGCTATGACTGTTGGTACACTACACTACAATTAAATATTTTAAGTTCATGCATTTTAGTACAATATAACATTTTGAAAAGACATTTGTAATTTTTATAACTAACTTCCTACTAAGAAAAGAAGGAAAGATAGAATACAAATTGCCTTACAACACAAAGTTCACTGTGATAAGAGGATCAAGGTACAATAATAACTTTTCCTCCAATAAATTATCTGTTTTATTGCAATTATATTTGATGAAAATATTTGAACACAAAGTCCAGTTTTCAACGAACTATGAAGCATGTTTTTTAAATTAAAATACAGATATTTTAACATTCTTTAAATATGTTCTAAAATGACTTCATTTACTCATTCAACTCTTTATTGAGATCCTGCTATTTGCAATGCCCTTTTCAGCTACTAGGCCTAAATCAGTAGGAAGAAAAAAGTATAAGGACAAAACTATGTCTGTCCTTATACTTGGAGCCTAGATTCTAATGGTAAAGTAATAGACAACCAACAATTAACCTATTAAATAAGTATATTATATACTGTGTTAGAACACAGTAAGAGCTATGTAGAGAAATGAGTAAGAAGGTGATTGCATGCACCAGGGGATAGCATTATTACAATATTTTGTGTTTTTAAAATTAACACACATGAAAATTGCCTTTTATTGGTGTATGCTTTTCTGAGTTTAGCACAGGTATAGATTTCTGTAACCACAACTGCAATCAAGATAAGAACAATTCCAAAAACCTCAAAAAACTCTTTTGTGCTGCTCTTTTGTCATTAAATCTCTCCCTAGCCCTAAACCTTGACCAATGCCGATCTGTTTTCAATCTTTATAGTTTTGTATTTTCAGGAATGCAATTTAAATTAAATGGTACACTAGGTAGCCTTTAACACTGCCATTTTTGGCAGGGCATGGTGGCTTACACCTGTAATCCTAACACTTTTGGAAGACAAAGTGGGAGGATCACCTGAGTCCCAGAGGTAGAGGCTGCAGTCAGACAGTCGTGATAGCACTGCTACACTCCAGTCTGGGTATCAGTGAAACCCTGTCTCAAAAAGTTAAAAAAATAAAACTGGCATCTTTTACCCAGCATATAATAACTTTGAGATTTATTCAAATTGTTGCATAGACTAATACCCTATTCCTTTGTATTGCTAAGTAATATTCCATTGTAAATAATGTACCACAGTTTATCCATTCACCTGTTGAATTAGGTTTTGGCAATTATAAACAGAATTTCTATTAATATTTGTGTTCAAATTTTTTGGGCTAACGTAAGTCCTCATGTGTCTAAGATAAATATCTGGGAGTGGAACTCCTGGGTTTTATGGTAAGTGTATGTTTCAATTTAGAAGAAATTGTCAAACTATTTTCCAAAATGGCTTTAACATTTAGCATTCCCACTAGAAATGTTCCTTTGCTTATTCATAAAAATTTTAGAATTAGTTTGTTTATATTAACAAAAATCCTGCTGGGATGTTAATTGTAATTTCACTAAATCTCCATGTCCGTTTGGGGAGATTTGTCATAAATACTATGTTGAGTGCATGAAAAATCCAATCCATGCACACAGTATGTCTCTCCAAGCATTTAGGTTTTCTTTCATTTCATTATTATTTCATAATTTATACAAGTATATGTTTTACATGTTTTCTTAGATCTGTGCCTTAGTATTTCATTTCTTGAAGTTATTGTAATTTGTATTGAATTTTTGTCTGTTAACCCTGTATGCTGTATCCTTGATAAATTCACTGATTTGTTCCAGGAGTTTGTTGCTTGTTTGTTTTGTTTGGCTTTGGATTCTGTATCATTCAAAGTTTTCCATAGAAACAAAATAACTAGAATATATATAGAGAGAGATCTATGGGAGTGGCTCATGTGATGATGGAAGGTGGCAATTCCAAAATTTGTAGGACAGGCCACCAGACTGGAAATTTGGGGGCAGGAGTTGATGATGCAGTCTTGAGGAAAAACTTCTTTTTCCTCAGCGAAACCTCAGTTTACTTTTAACACCTTTAAAATGATTGAATGAGGCCCATACACATTATCAAGAATGATCTCCCTAAATTTAAGTAAACTGATTGCAGATGTTAACCGCATCTACAAAACACCTTTACTATAAGATCTATATTAGTTTTTAAGTTAGGTACAAATCTATTTAGCCTAGCTAAGCGTACACATTAAACTAACCATCACAGATTCTTTGGGATTTTCTAGGTGGATAATAATATGTCATCTATAAATAAGGCAGTTATATTCCTCTTTTTCCCATCCATATAGCTTTTTATTCCTGTATCTACTGTACTGGTCAGAACTTCCAGAACAATGTTAAATAAGAATGATCAGAGTACCTGTTCTTCCTTGTTACTTATATAACATAGAAAGCATTTAATCTTTCAACATTAAGGTGACGTTAGCTGTAGAATCTTAGGTTGAGAAAGTTTCCTTCTATTTCAAATTTGTTGAGAGATTTTTATTATAAATAGATATGGAATTATAAAATGCATTTTATATGATCATGTAATGGGTTATTGACATTTGAATATTGAATCAGCCTTGCATCCGTGAGATAAATCCCACTTTGATGAAGAGTTTTGAGGTTTTTGTATTTGTTTAGTGTATTCATTGATAGATTCAAATTTCCAACATTTTATTGAGGATTTATTTCTCTGTTCATAGTAGATACTAGTCTTACATTTATTTTCTTTTATTCTTCAAAATTATAATTTGATATTATTTTATTTAAAAAATATTTTATTTTAAGTTCCAGGGTACATGTGCAGGATATGCAGGTTTGTTACACAGGAAAACATGTACCATGGTACTTTGCTGCACCTATCAACACATCACCGAAGTATTAAGCCCACATGCTTTGGCTATTTTTCCTGATGTTTTCACAACCTGCTGACAGGCCCTAGTGTGTGTTGTTCACTTCATTGTGTCCATGTGTTCTCATTGTTCAGCTCCCACTTTAGTGTGAGAACATGCAGTGTTTGGTTTCCTGTTCCTGGGATAGTTTGCTGAGGATAATGGCTTTCAGCTTCATTCGTGTCCCTGCAAAAAACATGATCTTATTTGTTTTTAATGGCTGTGTAGTATTCCATGGTGTATATGTACCACATTTTCTTCATCCAGTCTACCATTTGTGGGCATTTGGGTTGATTCCATGTCTTTGCTATTGTGAATGGGGCTGCAATAAACATATACGTGCATGTACCTTTATAATAGAATGATTTAAATTCCCTTGGGTATATACCCAGTAATGGGATTGCTGGGTCAAATGGTATTTCTGTCTTTAGATCTTTGAAGAATTACCACATTGTCTTTCACAATGGTTGAACTAATTTATTCTTCCACCACGAGCTGGTCTCATAAAAAAATTAGGGAATAATTATTTCTATGATTTTTCTGGTATCAGTAATAATTCTGATTGCTGTGTGGTGGTATCTCATTGTGGTTTTGATTTGCATTTATCTTATGATCTGTGATGTTGAGCTTTTTTTCATATGTTTGTTGGCTGCATAAATGTCTTCTTTTGAGAAGTATCTGTTCATGTGCTTTGCTCATTTTTTAATGGGGTTGTGTGCTTTTTTTTCTTATAAATGTATTTAAGTTTCTTATAGACACTGGATTTTAGACCTTTGTCAGATGAATAGATGGCAAAAATTTTCTCCCATTCTGGAGTTTGTAAGTTCTGATAATAGTTTCTTTTGCTGTGCAGAAGCTCTTTAGTTTAATAGGTCCCATTTGTCAATTTTTTCTTTTGCTGCAATTGCTTGTGCTATTTTTGTCATGAAATCTCTGTCTGTGCCTATGTCCTGAATGGTATTGCCTAGGTTTTCTTCTAGAGTACTTAAAGTTATAGGTTTTACATTGAAGTCTTTAATCCATCTTAATTTACTTTTTGGATAATTGATAAGGAAGGAGACCAGTATCAATTTTCTGCATACGGCCAGCCAGTTCTTCCAGCACCATTTATTAAATAGGGAATCCTTTCTCCATTGCTTGTTTTTGTCAGGTTTGTCAAAGATCAGAAGTTGTAGATGTGTGGTCTTATTCCTTAGCTCTCTATTCTGTTCCATTGGTCTATGTGTCTGTTTTTTGTACCAGTTCCATGCTATTTTGGTTGTTGTAGGGTTGAAGAATAGCTTGAAGTTGGGTAGCGTAATGCCTCCAGCTTTATTGTTTTTGCTTAGGATTGTCTTGGCTATCTGGGCTCTTTTTTGTTTACATGTGAATTTTAAAATACTTTTTTTTTGCTAATTCTGTGAAGAATGTCAATGGTAGTTTAATGGGAATAGCACTGAATCTATAAATTGCTTTGGATAGTATGGCCATTTTTACCATATTGATTCTTCCTATCTATGAGCATGGAATGCTTTTCCATTTGTTTGTGTCCTCTCTGGTTTCCCTGAGAAGTGATTTGTAGTTCTCCTTGAAGAGGTCCTTTGCTTTTCTTGTTAGCTGTATTCCTAGGTATTTTATTCTCTTTGTAGGGACAGTTGAAAAGGAGGGACTCCTCCATAACTCATTTTATGAGGCCAGCATCATCCTGATACAAAAACCTGGCAGAGATGTAACAACAAAAAATAAAACTTCAGGCCAATATCCCTGATGAACATTAATGCAAAAATCCTCAGTAAAATATTGGCAAACTGAATCCAGCAGCACATCAAAAAGCTAATCCACCATGATCAAATAGGCTTCATACCCAGGATGCAAGGCTGGTTCAACATATGCAAATCCATAAACCTAATGCATCACATAAACAGAACTAAAGACAAAAAACTCACATGATTATCTCAATTTATACAGAAAAGGCCTTTGATAGAATTCAACATCACTTTATGTTAAAAACTCTCAATAAACAAGGTACTGAAGGAACATACCTCAAAATAATAAGAGCCATTTATGACAAACTGACACTCAACATCATACTGAATGGGCTAAAGCTGGAAGCATTCCCCCTTGAAAACTGGTAAAAGACAAGGATGCCTTCTCTCATCACTCCTGTTCAACATAGTACTGGAAGTTCTATCCAGGGAAATCAGGCAAGAGAAAGAAATATATGGGATTCAAATTAAAAGTTAGGAAGTCAAATTGTCTTTGTTTGACAATATCTAGAAAACCCCATTGTCTCAGTCCAAAAGTTTCTTTTGTGGTTTATTTTCTTGTACGATATTTATTAGGTTTCACCATTAAGATCATGCTGATCTCATAAAAAAAATTAGGGAATAATCATTTATATGATTTTTCTGGAATAAATGATTTATGGAATTCACCAGTTTAAATATCTAGGACTAAAAAATTTCCTTTTGAATGATTATTTACAATCCCAGTATCTTAAGTAGTAAAAGTGTAGAATTATTCTGCTTATGTATTTCATCAGTGGGGGGGTGGTTAAGCATTTCATGGTTTTGTTGCATTCCATTTAAGTATTCTAATTTATATGCATACAATTGTTATAACATTCCCTTACTATGCTTTTAATGTCTATGGCATTTGTAGTGACATCCTGCCTTCCATTTCTAGTATTAGTAATTTGTGTTTTATCTCTCTTTTTTTAAAAAATATGAAAAATAGACTAGTGTTTGACCATCTGTATATCATTCCATGTTCACATACTCTCTTATTTAATTATTGCAAAACTATTTTAAGTAGGTAATACTATCTTTTTGCTGCAAACAAATAAAATGTTGATTTGGAGAGGGTTATATTATTTTCTAAAAATAAACTGGTTATAACTTGAAGATCTATGTTTAAAGTCAAGTCATGTATGTGCATACATTCTGAAAAATGTGTCATCAGGTGATTTCATTGTTGTGTTGACATCATAGAGTGTTCTTACACAAACCTATGTCATACAGCCTTACAAAAATCTAATATAGCACATATAGGCTATATAGCATAGTATATTGCTCTTAGACTACAAACCTGTACATCATGTTACTATACTCAGTGGCGTAGGCAACTATAACAAAATAGTAAATATTTGTGTATCTAAACATAGAAAAGATACAATAAAATAATGCATAAAATATTTTTAAAATGGTCATGTGTCTAGGGCACTTACAATAAATGGAGCTTGCAGGACTGGAAGTTGTTCTGGGTGAATCAGTGAGTGAGTGGTGAATGAATGTGAAGGCCTAGGACATTGTTGTACACTATTGTAAACTCTGTAATCACTGTACACTTAGGCTACACTAAATTTGTAAAAAAAAAAAATCTTTCTTCAATAATAGATTTACCTCAGCTTACTGTAACTTTTTTACTTTATAAACAAAATTTTTTTAAAAAATGATAACTTTTGTAATAACGGTTTAAAACACAATCTAGTTATACAAAAATATTTTCTTTCTTTATATCCTTATTCTATAAGCTTTCTTCTATGTTTTAACTTTTATTTTAAGTTCAGGGGTACATGTACAGGTTTGTTATTTAGGTAAATTTTTGTCATGGGGGTTTGTTGTACAGATTATTTCGTTACCCAGGTATTAAGCATAGTATTCATTAGTTATTTTTCCTTATCATCTCCCTCCTCCACTCCACCCTCCTATAGCCCCCAGTGTCTGTTGTCCCCCTCTATGTGTCCATGTGTTTTCATCATTTAGCTCCCACTTATAAGTGAGAGTATGCAGTATTTGACTTTCTGTTCCTGTGTTAGTTTGCTACAGAAAATGGTCACCAGCTCCATCCATATCCCTGCAAAGTACATGATCTCATTTTTTATGGCTGCATAGTACTCCATGGTACATATGTACCACATTTTCTTTATCCAGTCTACCATTGATGGGCATTTAGGTTGATTCCATGTATTTGCTATTGTGAATAGGACTGCAATGAACATATACTTGCATGCGCGTTTATGTTGAATGGTTTATATTCCTTTGGGTATATACCCAGTAATGGAATTTCTTGGTCTAATGGTCGTTTTGTTTTTAGGTCTTTGAGAAATGGTCACACTGTTTTCCACAATTATTGAACTAATTCACAGCCACACTAACAGTGTATAAGTGTTTATTTTTCTCCACAACCTTGCCAGCACCTATTATTTTTTGATTTTTCAGTAATAGCTATTCTCACTGGTGAGAGATGGTATCTCAATGTGGTATTTATTTGCATTTTCTTAATGATCAGTGAAACTGAACTGTTTTTCATCTGCTTGTTGGTTGTATGTATCTCTTCTTTCGAAAAAGTGTCTGTTTATGTACTTTGCTCACGTTTTAATGGGATTGTTTGTTTTTTATTCTTGTAAATTTGGTTAAATTTCTCATAATTCTGGATAATAAACCTTTGTCAGATGGACAGATTGCAAAAATTTACTCCCATTCTGTAGGTTGTCTGTTCACTCTGATGATGGTTTCTTTTGCTTTGCAGAAGCTCTTTCATTTTAATTTGATCCTATTTGTCAATTTTTGCTTTTGTTGCAATTGCTTTTGGTATCTTTAGAACGAAATTTTGTCTGTTTCTATGTCCAGATTGGTATATTGCCTAGGTTGTATTGCAGGATTTGTATAGTTTTGAGTTATATATTTAAGTTTTTAATCCATCTTGAGTTGATGGTTGTATATGGTGTAAGGAAGGAGTCCCATTACAATCTTCAGCATATGGCTAGCCAGTTTTCCCAGCATCATTTGTTGAAGAAGGAGTCCTTTCCCTATTGCTGATTTTTGTCAACTTTGTTGAAGGTGAGATTGTAGTAGGTATGTGACCTTATTTATGGGTTATTTTTCTGATCCATTGTTCTATGTGTCTGTGTTTATACCAGTACCATGCTGTTTTGTCTACTGTGGCCCTGCAGAAAATTTAAAGTTGGGTAGCATGATGCCTCCAGGTTTATTCTTTTTGCTTAGGATTCTCTTGGTTATCCAGGCCCTTTGTTGGTTTTATATGAATTTTAAAATAGTTTCTCCTACTTCTGTGATTAATGTCAATGGTAGTTTATGGGAATATCATTGAATCTATAAATTACTTTGAGCAGTATAACCATTTTCACAATATATTGATTCTTCCTATCCATGAGCATGGAATGTGTTTCCATTTGTTTGTGACCACTCTGATTTCTTTGAACAGTGATTTGTAGTTCTTGTAGAGATCTATCACCTCCCTGGTTAGCTGTATCCCTAGGTATTTCATTCTTTTGGTGTCAATTGTGAATGCCAGTTCATTTGTGATTTGGCTCTTGGCTTGACTGTTGTTTTTTTATAGGCATGCAAGTATAATAGTGATTTTTGTCCATCTGTTTTTTATCTTGAGACTCCGAAGTTGTTTACCAGCTTAAGGAGTTTTGTGCCAAGACTATGAAATTTTCTAGATATAGGACTTTGTCATCTGCAAACAGGGATAATTTGACTTCCTCTCTTCCTATTTGGATGCCCTATATTTCTTTCTCTTGCACTGGCCAGGACTTCCAATACTATGTTGAATAGGAGTGGTAAGAGAGAGAGCATCCTTCCCTTGTGCTGGTTTTCAAGAGGAATGCTTCTGGTTTGGGCCCATTCAGCACGAAGTTGACTGTGGATTTGTCATTGATGGCTCTTATTACTTTGAGGTAAGTTCCTTTAATACCCAGTTTATTGAGAGCTTTTAACATGAAAGAGTGTCTGAATTTTATCAAAAGCATTTTCTACATCTACTGAATCATGTGGGTTTAGTCTTTACTTCTGTTCACGTGATGGATTACGTTTGTGGATTTGCATATGTTGAACCAGCCTTGCATCCCGGATATGAAGCCTGCTTGATCATGGTAGATAAGCTTTTTGATATGCTGCTGGATTTGGTTTGTCACTATTTTGTTGAGTATTTTTGCTTTGATGTTCATCAGGGATGTTGGCTTGACATTTTCTATTTTTGTTGTTTCTCTGTCAGGTTTTGGTATCAGGGTATTGCTGACCTCATAGAATGAGTTAGGAAGGAGTTACTTCTACTCAATTTTTTGGAATAGTTTCAGCAGGAGTGCTACCAGCTCTTCTTTGTACATATGGTAGAATATGGCTGTGGATCCGTGTGGTCCCATGCTTTTTGTTGTTGTTGTTGGTGGTGGTAGGATATTTATTACTGATTCAATTTCGGAGCTCATTATTCATCTGTTCTGGGATTCAATTTATTAAAGAAAATCTTCTAGATTTTCTACTTTAAGTGCATAGAAGTATTCATAATAATATCTGATGGTTATTTGTATTTCTGTTGGGTCAAAGCAATATTCCCTTAGTCATTTCTGATTGTGTTTATTTGGATCTTCTTCCATTTCTTCTTTATTAGTCTAGCTGCAGTCTATCTATTTTATTAATTTTTTGAAAGTAACAACTTCTGGATTTGTTGATCTTTTGAATAATTTTTTGTATCTCAATCTCCTTCAGTTCAGCTCTTATTTTGTTTATTTCTTGTCTTCTGCTAGCTTTGGGGTTGGTTTGCTCTTTGTACTCTAATTCTTTTAGTTGTGATGTTAGGTTATTAAATTAAGGTCTTTCTAACTTTTTGATATGGGTACTAAGTGCTAGGGATTTCCCTCTTAACTTTGCCTTAACTGTGTCGCAGATATTCTAGTATGTTTTATCTTCATTCTAATTAGTTTTAAGGAGCTTCTTGATGTCTGCCTTAATTTCATTATTTATCCAAAAGTCATTCAAGAACCGATTATTCAATTTCCATGTAATTGTATGGTTTTAAGCAATGTTCTTGGTCTTGATCTCTAATTTTATTGTGCTGTTGTTTAAGAGTGATTTTTATTATTTGAATTATTTTGCATTGGGTGAGGAGTGTTATAGATCCAAATATTTGGTCAATTTTAGAATATGTGCCACATGGCAATGAGAAGAATGTATATTCTGTTTTTATGGCATGGAAAGCACTATAGATGTCTATCAGGTCCATTTGATCAAATTTTGAGTCAGGTACTGAATATCTTTGTTAATTTTCCGCCTTAATAATCTGTCTAATACTCAGAGGGATGTTGATGTCTCTCACGATTGTTGTGTGGGAGCCTATGTCCCTTTGAAAGTCTCTAAGAACTTGCTTTATCGATCCAGGTGCTCCTGTTTTAGGTGCACATACATTTAGAATAATTAGGTGTTGTTGAATTGAAACTTTACCATTATGTAATGCCCTTCTTTGATCTTTTCTTATCTTTGTTGGTTTAGAGACTGCTTTGCCTGAAATAAATATTTTAACCCTTGCTTTTTTTTCTGTTTTCCATTTGCTTGGTAAACTTTTCTCCAACCATTTGTGTTGAGACTAAAGGTGTCATTGCATGTGAGATGGATATCTTGAAGACAGCATATCAATGGGTCTTGGATCCTTATTTAGCTTGCTATTCTGTGCCTTTTAACTGGGGCATTTAGCTTGTTTCCATTCAATGTTAATATTCATATGTATAGATTTGGTTCTGTCATCATGATGTTGGCTGGTCTGCCCAGTTAAGTGTGCTTTTGTACTGGCTCATAATGCTCTTTCCTTTCCATATTTAGTGTTTCTTTCAGGAGTTCTTGTAGGCAGGTCTGGTGGTAACAAATTCCCTCAGCATTTACTTTTCTGAAAGGATCTTATTTCTCCTTTGCTTATGAAGCTTAATTTGGCTGGATATGAAATTCTTGGTTGGAATGTCTTTCAATTAAGAATGTTGAATATTTGCCCCCAAATCTCTTCTGGCTTCTATAGTTTCTGCTGAGAGGTCTGCTGTTAGTCTGATGGGCTCCCCTTGGTAGGTAGTCTGACCTTTCTCTCTAGTTGCCTTTAATATTTTTAATTTCATGTCAATCTTAGAGAATCCTATGATTATATGTGTTGGAGATGATTTTCCTGTGGAGTATCTTACTTGGGTTCTCTGCATTTTCAGAATTTGAATGTTGGCCTGTAGCTAGGTTGGGGGAAATTGTCATGGATGATATTCTGAAATTTGTTTTTCAAGTTTCTTTCATTCTCTGCATCTCTTTCAGAGACATGAATGAGTCATAGATTCAGTCTCTTTACATAATGCAATATTTCTTGGAGATTTTGTTCATTCCATTTTGTTCTTTTTCTCCTACTTTTTTCTGACTTTCATATTTCAGAAAACCAGTTTTCTAGCAACCTCCTCCTCCTGGATTCAAGCTATTCTCCTGCCTCAGCCTCCTGAGTAGTTGGGATTACACGCAATCACAAACATGCCCTGCTAATTTTTTATTTTTAGTAATGACAAGGTTTCACCATGTTGGCCAGGCTGGTCTTGGACTCCTGACTGCAAGTGATCCACCTGCCTTGGCCTCCCAAAGTGCTAGGACTACAGGCATGAGCCACCATGCCTGGCTTCTCTTTGACTTTTCAAAAATTTTTTCAAGTGCTGTAGTGAGAAGGTGGAAAAGCACAGAACAAAAAATTTGACATGAAACTGACTGAACAATCAATTGAGATAACTCACTACCTTTGGACCAGACTTTTTTCTATTTTTAATTTTATTTTTACCTTTAAAACTTTTTGTTTGAAAGCTGAAACACAAACCTACACATTGTTCTATGCCTACACATGCTCAGAATCATCAATTTCATTGTCTTCTACCTCTACATCTTGTCCCACTGGAAGGTCTATAAGGGCAATAACACCCATGGAGCCGTCATCTCCTATGATAACAGTGCCTTCTTCTGGAATACTTATTAAAGGACCTACCTGAGGCTCTTCTTGAGGAAGTTTCACTCTTTTCAGAAACATCTTCGTTGTTTACTTGGTTTGTTTCTCTTTTTCATTATAGCTTTGTTTCTAATCAGATAATACAACATAAACATTATTCTTTGTTAATGAAAACCTTTTGATGTTATGGTATGTTTTTACAATTTTAGGGAGCTTGATGAGATCTGCACACACTTTCATAAATTCTTAGCTGTGAATTTTCATGGGGATTCATGAAGTCATGGATGAACCTCCTGAGTGTCTTCCTCCAGACACTATTCACATACTCCTCGGTGACATCACCAAGCCTGAGCAATGTTCTTTATATACTTATAGATGTAATCCTTCCAGAATTCTATCAATATATTCTCAGTATCCCCCTCAGTTGCAGCAATAGCCTGGCCAATGTTCTTCTCAGATGTTAGACCTTAAAAGCTGCTGTATGGTCAACAAATATATGAAAAAAAAATGCTCACCATCACTAACTATCAGAGAAATGCAAATAAAGCCACAAGACATTTCACACTAGTCATAATGGCTATTATTAAAAAGTCAAAAAACAGAGAATGGCAAACCTGCAGAGAAAGGGAATGTTTATACACTGTTGGTGGGAATGTAAATTATTTCAGACGGATGAAAGCAGTCTGGAGATTTCTCAAATAACTTAAGACACAGCCATCATTTAACCCAGAAATCCCATTACTGGGTACATACCCAAAAGAAAATATATCATTATATCCAGAAGGTACATGTACTTCTATGTTCAATGCTGCAATATTCAGAGTAGCAAAGAGACATGACATCAACCTAGGTGCCCATCAGTGGTGGATTGAATAAAGAAAATGTGATATGTATGGCCCGGAGCAGTTGCTCACTCCTGTAGTCCCAGAACTTTGGGAGGCAGAGGCAGGCAGATCGCAAGGTCAGGAGATCGAGACCATCCTGGCTAACATGGTGAAACCCCGGCTCTACTAAAAATAAAAAAAATTAGCCAGGTGTGGTGGCAGGTGCCTGTAGTCCCAGCTACTCGGGAGGCTGAGGCAGGAGAATGGCATGAACCCAGGAGGTGGAGCTTGCAGTGAGCCGAGATTGCACCACTGCACTCCAGCCTGGGCGACAGAGTGACTCTGTCTCAGAAATAAAAAAAAAAAAAAAAAAAAATGAAAAGAAAAGAAAGAAAATGTGATACGTATACACCATGGATAACTCAGCAGCCATAAAAAATGAAATCATACCATTTACAGATGGAGACCATAATCCTAAGCAAATTAATTCAGGAACAGAAAACCAAATACCACATGTTCTCACTTATAAGTAGGAGCTGAACATTAAGTACACATGTACATAAACATGGGAATACAAAACACTGCAGACTACTACAGGGAAGAGGGAAGAAAGAGGGAATGGATTGAAAAACTACGTATTAGGTAGTATGTTCACCACCTGGATGCAATACACCCTTGTAAAAAAATCTGCATATGTACTCCCTTTATCTAAAATGAAAGTTGAAATTTAAAAAGATTAAGAAAATACAGCATGATTGCAAGAAAAAACACAAACAAACACAAAAACAAAAACAAGTACACTTTTGTTCAAATATTTTACTTTGCTGTCAATCTGAGGGCAATGACAATTTAATATTCTAGCGTTCTAAGATCTCAGAAGGTGGTGATTTTCACCTACTACAATTTTCTTGGTAGCTATAATTATCTAATAAAAACTAAGAGAAATGACTTTAAACATTTCAATTCCAAAACTGTATACAAATGTAATAATTTACCACCAACTGGTCCATCTGCAATAACTAATGTCTATGTACATGCATAGCAATCATTCGCACATTCCAACCAGACCAACCAAATCCACTTTCTATACAATTTTCTATAAAAATATTAAAATCTAAAAGGAAGAAGAAAAGCTGCTGTAACTCCTTGTTCCATTGGTTGGACCAAAGAGATGGTGTTTGGAGAAAAAAAGCACCTCTTTAATATTAGGAAGAAAATCACCTATAAAAGGAGGATGTGCGGGAGCATTATGAACAATAAACACAATTTTGAAAGGTATGTCATTTTTTACAAAGCACTTCTCCATTTTGCTTGCATAGCAGTTCCAGAGGGTATCTTGGAAGGGGAACTGGATAATATGTAACTTCATACTGTTTCTGTAGTTCACTATCAGTGTGCACTTATTAATATGCTTGAAGGCCCGGGAGTCCCTATGGTGCCAGATCACAAAAGGTTTTAATTTGTAGCCTGCAATATTGCCCCCAAGCAAGGCTGTTTTCCTGTCCTTAAAAGCCTTCACACCTGGCATTGATGACACTTCATTGTAGATGAAAGTTCTTTCAGGCATCTGTTTCCAGAATAGGGAGGTTTCATTCATATTGAAGATTTGCTCTGGCAAGTAATTTTCCTCCACAATCAGCTTATGTACAGTTTCCCAAAATTCTTCAGCTGCTTTCACATCAGCACTTATAGACTTACCACTCATTTTCACATTATGTAAAAATAATGATTCTTAAATCCTTTAAGCCACTCAGAGCTAGCAGTAAATTCAACATCATAGTCAAGTCCAGCCTTTTCTTTTTATATTGCAAAGAAACTTTTTGCTTTGGCTGTGATCATCATTGTGCTGAGGGTGATACACTTCTGTGTCCGGTCTTTGATCCAGGTCATTAGAAGTTTCTCCATATCTGATATAAGCACTTTTAAAATTTTTGTTTATCCCATTGCCTTCAATGAATCATATCCTTTAAAAGCTTTTGTTACTGTGTTCTTCAAGATCATAGCTATGTTAGGCAGGAACATGTATGACTGGTGAGCAATAATCATCATTGATTTTCTACCTTTGTAGTCCTTAATCACTTTTAATTTCCTGTTCAGGTGAATGATTCAATGTGGCTTCTTACTGGCAACATTAGCAGTGGATTTTGTATGCTTAGAGGCCATGATGAGCAAAACCACATGAGATTTGATCAAGTACAAGAGAAAATGATGCAATCAACAGACAAAATAAACACAAAATGTATGAGACTGCTGCTGGCCTAATGCAGCATATTGTTTTACACTGAACTACTTTTTTTATTATAAATAGAAGAAATACACACTAGCAAAAGTATACAAAATATAGACTGGTAAATATATAAACCAGTAACATAGATGTTTATTATTATTATTATTATTATGAACTGTAGGTAATTGCATGCAGTATATTTTCATAAGACCGACAGCACAGTAGGTTTGTTTATACCAGCATCATCATAAATGTGTAAATAATGCTTTGCAATAGCTATGATGTCACTAGGCAAGAATAATTTTTGAGCTCTATCATAATCTTATGGGAACACCGTTGTATATGTGGTCCATGGTTGACGGAAACGTCGTTATGCAGTGCATGACTATATTTAGAAAATGAGTACTATTGTATATTTAAAAATCTGATAGGCCAAATGAAAACAAATCAAAACCACTCAAACTTTACTAGAAATATCAAAAGATTAATCAGTTAGGAAAAAGATAACCAACCAAAATAGAGTAGATTATAACTAATTTTCTTATATTGTTGAACTTTTCCTGGATTTGGATTAAAAAGATAATGTCTTAAATAACAAAACTTATAAAAAAGTTTAATCTTTGGCTAAAATAATAAAAAGGCAATTAAAAAAACAAAATATGTAAGTGGCTTTTGACAATGATTTTAGAAGAAGATTGTATGAAGCTCTTGACATAGTAGGTGCTCAATAAATATCTGTTAAATGAGGATGATTAATCTCTAAGCAGGATATTAATTGCTTTCTTCATATTATATATAACACTTAGGAATTGTAAGGTTCACTCGTTTGTTGCTTTTTCTCTGTTTTTATTTCTGAAACCATTAAAAACCTGGGATGGTTAACATCACTCTACTTCATACCCATGACAATTGGTGATCTTATTCAGCAGACTAAACATTGGTCTGGGACACAGGAGATCTTGCCTAGCTACTGAATACTTAAATTTGAGTCTAAGCAAGTCATTTGATATTCACCTCAGTTTTCTCATCTATATAATAAACCCATTTTAATGAAAGCTCTGTCATTTCATGAGATCTAATTTTCCCATCTCTGATAAATATTACTTTTCAATTCTTCCTGTTCTTGGCTACCAAAATAAAATTTTGGGTCTAAAACTATGAAATTCTTATTTGTATGCAATCTGTATTTGCATACATTTCCAAATAGCATTTTAAAATAATCATTTTAGATCCACCTATATGAGGTAAACAAAATAATCTCAGATACCTTAGCTTCTCCCCCCGCTCCTGTTCTTATTTCCATGACTCTTTCCTTTAAAAGAATGTAGTTATCCTTTCTAGCTCACTAACCTCTTTCCTTTCTCTCTATTCTATCACTATACTGATAATATGCCCACTGATGCCTGCTAATCATTATGTCAAGTTTTGCAGTTAGGATGACTGAGGAATGCAGACAGGAATAGATATTGAATAAGATGATTACTATTGCTTGAACACTTTATGGATTAGGAAGACCACAGATGTGGATCAGATGTGACTAGGATAATAATAGAAAGAAAGATTGAGCATGCAGATTATGGCAAGAACAGAGATCAGCAAATCAGATTTATTGATGGGGACTATATAATAGGAAAATTTCAATCATACAAAACTACCTCTTGTCCCTAAATTCTAACCTCAAATATCAAGGATGAAAACCCATTATGCAAATAAATAGTATATTCATTTCTTTAAACTGTCATTTTCTTGGTTTCAAGGTTAGCCTCAGGACATAAGGGAAAACAAAAAGCTACAAAAAAGCTGAATGTGGGGAGATGTAAATTTAAATTATATCTCATTCTACATGTGTTTTTCAGCGATAAATAATATTTAAATATTTTCTGCATTAAGCAAGAAATAATAATTTGCATTTAAGTCAGATTAAAATCTTTTTAGTATTTTCGATCACTTCGAGGTATAAAATGGAGAGAAAAAGTATTAAGACATGCTATTGATCTGGACCATGTCCGTTCTATTATTATAACAACATCAACACTCAAATTAATGGCAGCAAGCCCAAGTTAATTGTTTTTGAGACGTCATGAGCCTATATCTTTTCGAATACCACTAATAGCAAAATAACTTTAAGAGGAACAGCCAAAAGAAGAGAAACCCACAAAGGCAAATGACCAAGAGTCATATAACATAGACATGCAGGAATAATAGTATTCAAAACAGAAAGGAAAATGGGCAGATTCAAAAAAGTTATTTAACCACTGAAAATGTAAATGTTATATGACTCTATCTTTTGTTGATTTTTTATTTTGAAAATTTGCATAGTGATTGAAAATCAGTTACTTAAAGTATTTTGACATTCTACATCATTTTGTAAAGTTATCTTACCCTTGTATGGGCATTAAAGAGTTACATATTTAATGTCGTCTTCTCAGTCTGGGCTTCTTGGGAAAAAATTTGCAGATATTTGAGAGGACTTAGGTATTGTAATCTAAGCTGTATCTTCTCTAGGGGATGACCCCAAATCTGGTAGCACTGTGGTTCTTGCAGACTCTTAGAGGTACTGACTTGATGGTCTTGGACAAGATCCAGAATGCTCTGGATTACTGGGAAGAGACTTTTGTACTCTTTATTTACTTTCTCCCAAACAAACAGTCTCTCTATGGTCTCTGAGCCACCGGGAGCTGGGGGTGAAATGACACAAAAACCCCTATGGCCACCACCCCTAGGACTGTGCTGGATCAGAACTGAAGCCAATTTGGCACTTGGTCTGGCCAAAAGCCTGCTATCTCTCCCTGGCTACCACTTATGTTCACTCAAAGCCACAGGGCTCTAAAATCAGCAGGTGACAAGGGCAACCAGGCCTATGTCATTCCCTTAAGGGCAGTGAGTTCCCCCAGGCTCTGAGCAGAGGTAGTAAAAAACTTCAGAAGTTTCACCTGGTATTCTATTGTACTGTGGCCGAGTTGGCACTCAAACCACAAGACACAGTCCTTCCCACTATTCTCTCCCATTTCCAAAGACAGAGAAGCCTTACCTGGTAGCCACCACCACCACCACCACCAATGTTTCCTTAAAGCCCAAGGGCTCTTAAGTCAGCTGTTGTGAATGCTGTCTGGCCTGGGACTCACTCTTCAGGGAAGCTGGCTCCCTTCTGGCCCAAGACAGATCCAGAAATGCCAAGAAAGAGCCAAGTTCTGGAATTGGGGACCCCAAGAGCCCAGTTGGTGCTCTATCCCCCCATGGCTGAGCTGGTACCTAACTGCAAGACAAAGTCCCCTTTACTATTCCCTTCACTTTTCTGAAGTGGAAGCAGTCTCACCCTACAGTCACCACAGCTGGGAATGTGCTGAGTCTCACCTGAGGCCAGCGAGTCTCAGTGTCTCACCTAAGGCCATTGACGTAGTACCTGGGTATCACTGCTAGTTATTTAGGGCCCAAGGGCTCTTCAGATAGCAGGTGATGAATCTTTCCAAGACTGAGTCCTTCCCTTCAAGGCAACAGAATTGCTTCTGGACAAGGGTGTGACTAGAAATTTCTGGAAGCTAGGACCTAGAAATGCGGCCTCATAACTCTAACCAATATCCTATGCTGCAGCTGAGGTGGCTTCCAAACTGCAAGACAAAGTCTTCCCTGCTCCTCTTTCTCCTCTTCTCAAGTGGAATGAAGGGGTCTCTTCTGTAGCTACAGCTTTGTAACCTGGGGTTGGGAGGAATGATACCACCACTCCCTTAGCCACCCCAGCTGGGGTCTCAGTAGGTCGCATCCTTCGTCAGTCCACTGTCTCTGGGCCCAGTTCAGTCATAGGGCTCACCTAGGTGTTGCAGTCCTTGTGGCCTAGAGTACCTTTCAAGGTTTTTTTGAGCCCTAAAGCCCTTTAGCCCAATGGCAAGGCTTGCAGAAACTCAAGTTCCCACCACTGGGATCAGCAATTCCCCTCTGGCTAGGGCTGGTTTAAATGTACCTGCTGTGGGTAAGCATCAGATGAGATTGGGCTAATTTGCTTTCTGCTATAAAAAGGGTTGCACTGAGTTCAATGCTTCATAATTGCTGGCTCTCCCTCTCCCCATGCTCTCCACACCAAGCTGCTGCTGCCAGGAATGGGAAATTAGTGGTGTTGGCCATTCGGAATTGTTTCTCCTACCTTTTCAGTGCCTCTTTCAGAGAAATAAAGTTAAATCCAGGTACTGTGAGTGCTCGCCTGGTTTTTGGTTCTTAAGAAGGTGCTTAATGCATGTAGATTATTGTTAATTGGTGTCCTTGTGGGAAGGGGTGACAACTGGTGGAGCCTTCTATTCTGCCATGTTACCCCACCTCTCTCAAATTATCTTGCTCTTGAAGAAAAAAAATACATAAGAAATTAAGTACCATGAAAATGATTTCAAGAAATAAAAACTTTGAAATTATAATAATGTGTTGGAAGAGTTATGATAATAAAATTTTTAAGTAAAGTAAAACACCCAGTATTATGTAATAAAAATGGTTTCCAGTGAAGGAGAAAAAAAAAAAGTGAGTTAACATTTCTAAACTTTTATATAAAACACTGTGCTGTAATGTTTTCTCATTATTTTACTTTATCCTCAAAAAAATAAAAAAAAAACACATGAATGGAGCAATTATTCTACAGTTGCAGGTGGAGAAGAGGAAGTTTAATGTCCACATTCAGCTGAAGAGCCAGAGGTTTCTATCTCCAAAGACCATACTCTTTGCATTAAAGCATTAATAACTTTGAAGTTTAGACTATCATATATTTTAAATAATAAAATCATGCACAATGTCAGCATTAACAAGCACCTTAGAACTATCTGAAGTACCGGGCTGAAGTCCCAGAGTTCATGAGGTCATTTTTATTTACAAGGATACATTATCTTCACTGTGAGAGTGTACATGCAGAAAGCACATGTCATAATAGAGACTAGTTTCTGATGAGGGATTTTGTCAAGTAAGACATATTTCATTTATTTCTCGACCATAGAGACTGGAGACATGGAAAGGAATTTGCAGTTTTTTAATTAATCAAACACAATTATGAGTGCATATCCAGAGGTATTTGTATAGCCTAAATATATCTAAGACTCTCACCCATCTCTAGAAATTTTAATATAAGCTATATTTAGATAAGCTTAAATACAAGTTATAATTTTTAAAAATATATGGATTATTTCTAAGGAGTGGATGTATAACCATGGCATATTTTAAGATTTCTTATGGTCAGTTGTTCTTTCACTCTTGTTGTCTAGAATTGTTTACCCTTTCTCTTTATCCCTAATCATTACCTAAATCTCACAAAGAAATTCTATTCAATTGACACTTATGTAAACAATTAAATATGTTCCAACCAATCCATTACTGCTTCCAAGTTAAGTTAAGGATTATGAAGTATTACAATGTCTTCTTGATATATGTCAAATATGAATAATAGGGTAAATGACTTTTTAAAATGTTTTTTTTTTTTTTGAGATGGAGTTTTGCTCTTATCACCCAGGCTGGAGTGCAGTGGCACAATCTTGGCCCGCTGCAACCTCCGCCTCTCAGGTTCAAGTGACTCTCCTGCCTCATCCTCTCGAGTAGCTGGGATTACAGGTGCCCACCACCACACCTAGCTAATTTTTTTTGTATTTTTAGTAGCAAAAAGTTTTTGCCATGTTTGCCAGGCTGGGCTTTAACTCCTGACCTCAGGTAATCCACCCATCTCAGCCTCCCAAAGTGCTGGGATTACAGGCATGAACCACCACACCAAGCCTTAAATATCTTAATAAATACTATTAAAAATTCTGGACCTTAAAATTAGCATTTCAAATCTGTAGAAAGATATTATTCAACAAATAATGTTGGAAAAACTGGGAGGTTTTGGAGAAACAAATAATGTTGGATTTTACATCACCAAAATAAATCCTAGATGAATTAAAAGTTTTAACATTAAAAAATAAAACTATAAAAGTACTAGAAGAAAACTAAAGAAACTATTTTATTCATTCTCTTTTTTTTAAAGCAAACACTGAATAGGAATCTTATCTAAATATGTTTAAAGCTCAGAAGCTATAGAGAGAAAATTCTGACAAATTAAATACATAGAAATGTAAATGGTCTTTTTTGGTTCAAAACATCTTAAACAATGAGAAATTTAAATGATAAGTTGAGAGCATTTTGATAATATTTATCAAATGCCAAAGTTTACATTCTAGAATTAACATAAACTCCTACAAATCAATAATAAATAGACCAATGGTCTAATTTTTAAAATGGCAAATTATATGAACTGACATTACCCAGAAAAAAATATTAGAAAGTGAACAGACTAAGATACATAAATAATAAGAGATATAAAAATTAAAGCCATCAGATCATGTTTCACTCTTGAGCAATAAAGTGATTGGATAAACTGTAGTGGAGAGTGTATGGAAAACAGCCCTTCTCATATGTGCATCTGGGTAGGAAATTGCTGTCAAGTTGGTGAATGGCACATCCATTAAAATTTAAAAATATATATGTTTGTTGACCCAGAAATCCCACCCATAGGTCTTCTTTCTACGTACATAATTGCATACATTAAAATGTTATCTACTCACTGCAGTTTTGTTTATAACAACAAAAATTAGAAAGAATTTGTAAGTTCATTACTTTGTGACTAGTTACATTATAGCACATATATAAAACAGAATATTATAAAATAAATTAGAAAAATGATGGATATGTAGTAGCTTATATGACCTCTAAGAGAAAAAAGTTAGAAGCAACATAGTGTGCATAGTATATATCATTTAGGTTACATATATCATTAATGTTATATATGTAACATACATACATATATGTCTGTAAATGTATAATGATCTCTGTATATATGTATGTAAATGTGTAGATACATATGTTTGTAAATATATAAATGGTCTACACATATACATTACATATAACATATATATGTGTGTATATATGTGTGTGTGTGTGTATATATAAATATGTGTCTGTAAATGTATAGATGGTCTCTGGGAAGGTACTAACAATGCTAATTGTCTCCTGGGAAAGAACAAGACATCTGTAATGTTTGAATTATGCATCATGTACATGTTATTAAATTTGAAAATCTATTACACATGCACACACACAATATGTATATATATCAACACACACACAATACATAGGTATTTATATCCACACACACAAACGCACACATACAGTCATTGTCTCCAGGGCCTTCTCCTTCTCACTACTGCTGAACTTCATGAGGCATTCACTTTGGTAGGCTGCTTAGTGCAAAAGAACTAAAATCAGAATGAGCTCTGTACACAAGTCTCACTTTTGACATTCATTGATCATATAATCTTGAGCAAGTTCTTACTCCAGTATTTCTTGGCTTTGTATCCCTAACAAGTTGCTTAATTCATCTATGCTTCAGTTTTGAAATTTATAACATGAGGATAATACTAGTGCCTATCCCCTAGCAGTGCCAATGAAAACACTGAGGCTCAGAAAGATTAAACTTTTGTTTCAAGACATACACTCTGTTATAGACAGAAAAGACTAGATCTGTTATTTGATTTTATAACCTATTCACATTACAGAGTACATTCTCAAACAGAATTTCCTTGATAGCATTGTCAAGGGACAAATACACACAAACATTTACTTAAATTGTCTGAACATGAACTTTGTAGTCATTACATAACTTAAGAGTTTTAAATACATTGGGGAATTTTCACTATGTTGACTTTAGAGTTTCTTATTAACCTTTCATTGTCTTACAGCTGTAAAAGCTGAAATATCTTATTGCTCATTTTCATAATACACCTTTCCTGTCTCTCTTTTTAAAGAGTAGTATTGAGCAAAATAATTTAAACATTAAAATAATGAGGATTTAATTTTTGTCTTTGATTCTTGAGAGGGAGGGTAGGAGTTAAGCTTCAGAATGAATAAAGGTAAATGGCAAAACACAGATTAGAAATAATTTCAACATGTATGTTAGTTTTGGTTAAGAGCATATGTTCTAGCTGAGCGCAGTGGCTCATGACTGTAATCCTAGCACTTTGGGAGGCCAAGGCAGGAGGATCACGACGTCAGGAGATCGAGATCATCCTGGCTAACATGGTGAAACCCGGTGTCTACTAAAAAATACAAAAAAAAAAAAATTAGCAGGGCACAGTGGAGAGTGCCTGTGATCACAGCTACTCGGGAGGCTGAGGCAGGAGAATGGCGTGAACCCGGGAGGTGGAGCTTGCAGTGAGCTGGGATCGTGCCACTGCACTCCAGCCTGGGCAACAGAGCAAGACTCTGCCTCAAAAAAAAAAAAAAAAAAAAAAAAAGAGAGAGAGAGAGAGCATATGTCCCTTTCTATGTGGTCTTTGATTTATTTTTTATTATTATTATTTTTTGTATTATACTTTAAGTTCCAGGGTACAGGTGCACAACATGCAGGTTTGATACATATGTATACATGTGCCATATTGGTGTACTGCACCCATTAACGCTTCATTTACATTAAGTATATCTCCTAATTCTATCCCTCCCTGATGCTCCCACCCCACGACAGGCCCCAGTGTGTGATGTTCCCCACCCTGTTTCCAAGTGTTCTCATTGTCCAATTCCCACATATGAGTGAAAACATGCAGTGTTTGGTTTTCTGTGCTTGCAATAGTTTGCTCAGAATGATGGTATCCAGCTTCATCCATGCCCCTACAAAGGACATGAACTCATCCTTTTTTATGGTTGCATAGTATTCCATGGTGTATATGTGCCACATTTTCTTAATCCAGTCTATCATTGATGGACATTTGGGTTGGTTCCAAGGCTTTGCTATTGTGAATAGTGCTGCAGTAAACATGAGTCTGCATGTGTCTTTATAGCAACATGATGTATAATCCTTTGGGTATATGCCCAGTAATGGGATGGCTGGGTCAAATGGTATTTCTAATTCTAGATCCTTGAGGAATCACCACCCTGTCTTCCACAATGGCTGAACTAGTTTACAGTCTCATCAGCAGAGTAAAAGCATTCCTGTTTCTCCACATCCTATCCAGCACCTGTTGTTTCCTGACTTTTTAATGATTGCCATTCTAACTGGTGAGAGATGGTATCTCATTGTGGTTTTGATTTGCATTTCTCTGATGGCCAGTGATGGCTAGCATTTTTTCATTGGTCTGTTGGCTACATAAATGTCTTATTTTGAGAAGTGTCTGTTCATATCCTTCGCCCACTTTTTGGTGGGGTTGTTTGACTTTTTCTTGTAAATTTGTTTAAGTTCTTTGTAGATTCTGGATATTAGCCCTTTGTCAGATGGGTAGATTGTAAAAATTTTCTCCCATTCTTTAGGTTGCCTGTTCACTCTTTTGCTGTGCAGAAGCTCTTTAGTTTAATTAGATTGCATTTCTGAATTTTGGCTTTTGTTGTCATTGCTTTTGGTGTTTTAGTGATTAAGGCCTTGCCCATGCCTATGTCCTGAATGGTATTGCCTAGGTTTTCTTCTAGGGTTTTATGGTTACATTTAAGTCTTTAATCCACCTTGAATTCATTTTTGTATAAGGTGTAAGGAAGGGATCTAGTTTCAGCTTTCTGCACATGGCTAGCCAGTTTTCCCAGGACCATTTATTAAATAGGGAATCCTTTCCCCATTTCTTGTTTCTGTCAGGTTTGTCAAAGATCAGATGGTGTAGATGTCCGGTATTATTTCTGAGGGCTCTGTTCTGTTCCATTGGTCTATATCTCTGTTTTGGTACCAGAGATACTGTTTTGCTGTTTTGGTTATTGTAGCCTTGTAGTATAGTCTGAAGTCAGGTAGTGTGATGCCCCCAAGGTTTGTTCTTTTGGGTTAGGATTGACTTGGCAATGCGAGCTCTTTTTTGGTTTCATATGAACTTTAAAGTAGTTTTTTCCAGTTCTGTGAAGAAAGTCATTGGTAGCTTGATGGGGATGGCATTGAATCTATAAATTACCTTGGGCAGTATGCCCATTTTCATGGTATTGATTCTTCCTATACATGAGCATGGAATGTTCTTCCATTTGTTAGTGTCCTTTTTTATTTCATGGAGCAGTGATTTGTAGTTCTCCTTGAAGAGGTCCTTCACATCCCTTGTAAGTTGGATTATTCTCTTTGAAGCAATTGTGAATGGGAGTTCACTCATGATTTGGCTCTCTGTTTGTCTATTATTGGTGTGTAGGAATGCTTGTGATTTTTGCACATTGATTTTGTATCCTGAGGCTTTGCTGAAGTTGCTTATCAGCTTAAGGAGATTTTGGGCTGAGACGATGGGGTTTTCTAAATATACAATCATGTCATCTGCAAAAAGGGACAATTTGACTTCCTCTTTTCCTAATTGAATGCCCTTTACTTCTTTCTCCTGCTGGTTGACCGGGCCAAAACTTCCAACACTATGATGAGTAGGAGTGGTGAGAAAGGGCATCCCTGTCTTGTGCCAGTTTTCAAAGGGATTGCTTCCAATTTTTGCCCAAATCCCATTTGGCTGTGGATTTGTCATAAATCGCTCTTATTATTTTGAGATACGTCCCATCAATAACTAATTTTTTGAGTGTTTTTAGCGCGAAGGGCTGTTGAATTTTGTCAAAGGCCTTTTCTGCATCTATTGAGATAATCATGTAGTTCTCGTCGTTGGTTCTGTTTACATGATGGATTACGTTTATTGATTTTCATATGTTGAACCAGCCTTGCATCTCAGGGATGAAGCCGACTTGATCATGGTGGATAAGCTTTTTGATGTGCTGCTGGATTTGGTTTGCCAGTATTTCATTGAGGATTTTTGCATCGATGTTCATCAGGGATATTCGTCTAAAATTCTCTTTTTTTGTTGTGTCTCTGTCAGGCTTTGGTATCAGGATGATGCTGGCCTCATAAAATGAGTTAGGGAGGATTCCCTCTTTCCTATTGATTGGAATAGTTTCAGAAGGAATGGTACCAGTTCCTCTTTGTACTTCTAGTAGAATTTGGCTGTGAATCTATCTGGTTCTGGACTTCTTTTTGTTGGTAGGCTACTAATTATTGCCTGAATTTCAGAGTCTGTTATTGGTCTAGAGATTCAACTTCTTCCTGGTTTAGCCTTGGGAGGTTGTATGTGTCCAGGAATTTATCCATTTCTTCTAGATTTTCTAGTTTATTTGTGTAGAGGTGTTTATATTATTCTCTGCTGGTAGTTTGTGTTTCTGTGGGATCAGTGGTGATATCCCCTTTATCATTTTTTTTATTGTGTCTATTTGATTCTTCTCTCTTTTCTTCTTTATTAGTCTTGCTAGCAGTCTATCAATTTTGTTGATCTTTTCAACAAACCAGCTTCTGGATTCATTGATTTTTTGAAGTTTTTTGTGTGTCTCTATCTCCTTCAGTTCTACTCTGCTCTTAGTTATTTCTTGCCTTCTGCTAGCTTTTGAATGTGTTTGCTGTTGCTTCTCTAGTTCTTTTAATTGTGTCTTAGGGTGTCAATTTTAGATCTTTCTTGCTTTCTCTTGTGGGCATTTAGTGCTATAAATTTCCCTCTATACATTGCTTTAAATGTTTCCAAAAGATTCTTGTATGTTGTGTCTTTGTTTAGTTTCAAAGAACATCTTTATTACTGCCTTCATTTCATTATGTACCCAGTAGTCATTCAGGAACAGGTTTTTCAGTTTCCATGTAGTTGAGCAGTTTTGAGGGAGTTTCTTAATCCTGTGTTCTAGTTTGATTGCACTGTGGTGTGAGAGACAGGTTTTTATAATTTCTGTTCTTTTACATTTGCTTAGGAGTGGTTTACTTCCAACTATGTGGTCAGTTTTGGAATTGAAGTAATGTAGTGCCAAGAAGAATGTATATTCTGTTGATTTGGGGTGCAGAGTTCTGTAGATGTCTATTAGGTCTGCTTGGTGCAGAGCTGAGTTCAATTCCTGGATATCCTTGTTAACTTTCTGTCTCATTGATCTGTCTAATGTTGACAGTGGGGTGTTAAAGTCTCCCATTATTATTGTGTGTGAGTCTAATTCTCTTTGTAGGTGTCTAAGGACTTGCTTTATAAATCTGGGTGCTCCTGTATTGGGTGTATATATATTTACTATAGTTAGCTCTTCTTGTTGAATTGATCCCTTTACCATTATGTAATAGCCTTGTCTCTTTTGATAGTTTTTGGATTAAAGTCTGTTTTATCACAGACTATGATTGCAACCCCTGGTTTTTTTGTTTTCCATTTGCTTGGAAGATCTTCCTCCATCCCTTTATTTTGAGCCTATGTGTGTCTCTGCATGTGAAATGGGTCTCCTGAATACAGCACACTGATGGGTCTTGACTCTTTATCCAATTTTCCAGTCTGTGTCTTTTAATTGGAGCATTTATCCCACTTACATTTAAGGTTAATATTGTTATGTGTGAATTTGATCCTGTCATTGTGATGTTAGCTGGTTATTTTGCTCATTAGCTGATGCAGTTTCTTCCTAGCATTGATGGTCTTTACAATTTGGCATGTTTTTGCAGTGGCTGGTACCAGTTGTTCCTTTCCATATTTAGTGCTTCCTTCAGGAGCTCTTGTACGGCAGGCCTGGTGGTGACAAAATCTCTCAGCATTTACTCATCTGTAAAGGATTTTATTTCTCCTTCACTTATGAAGCTTAGTTTGGCTGGATATGAAATTCTGGGTTGAAAAGTCTTTTCTTTAAGCTTGTTGAATATTGGCCCCCACTTTCTTCTGGCTTGTAGAGTTTCTGCTGAGAGATCAGCTGTTAGTCTGATGGGTTTCCCTTTGTGGGTAACCCGACCTTTATCTGTGGCTGCCCTTAACATTTTTTCCTTCATTTCAACTTTGGTGAATCTGACAATTATGTGTCTTGGAGTAGCTCTTCTCGAGGAGTATCTTTGTGGCATTCTCTGTATTTCCTGAATTTGAATGTTGGCCTGCCTTGCTAGGTTGGGGAGGTTCTCCTGGATAATATCCTGAAGAGTGTTTTCCAACTTGGTTCCATTCTCACCATCACTTTCAGGTACACCAATCAGACGTAGATTTGGTCTTTTCACATAGTCCCATATTTCTTGGAGGCTTTGTTCATTTCTTTTCACTCTTTTTTCTCTAAACTTCTCTTCTTGCTTCATTTCATTCATTTGATCTTCAATGACTGATACCCTTTCTTCTACTTGATCGAATTGGCTACTGAAGCTTGTGCATGCATCTCGTAGTTGTCGTGTCATGGTTTTCAGCTCCTTCAGGTAATTTAAGGTCTTCTCGATGCTGTTTATTCTAGTTTGCCATTCGTCTAATCTTTTTTCAAGGTTTTTAGCTTCTTTGCGATGGGTTCGAACATCCTTCTTTAGCTCGGAGAAGTTTGTTATTATCAATCATCTGAAGACTTCTTCTCTCAACTCGTCAAAATCAGTCTCCATCCAGCTTTGTTCTGTTGCTGGCAAGGAACTACATTCCTTTGGAGGAGAAGAGGTACTCTGATTTTTACGATTTTCAGCTTTTCTGCTCTGGTTTCTCCCCATCTTTGAGGTTTTATCTCCCTTTGGTCTTTGATGATGGTGACGTACAAATGGGGTTTTGGTGTGGATGTCCTTTCTGTTTGTTAGTTTTCCTTCTAACAGTCAGGACCCTCAGCTGCAGGTCTGTTGGAGTTTGCTGGAGGTCCATTCCAGACCCTGTTTGTCTAGGTATCACCAGCAGAGGCTGCAGAACAGCAAATATTGCAGAGTGGTAAATGTTGCTGCCTGATCCTTCCTCTGGAAGCTTCATCTCAGAGGGGTACCTGGCCATATGAAGTGTCAGTCGGCCCCTACTGGGAGGTGTCTCCCAGTTAGGCTATTCAGGCGTCAGGGACCCACTTGAGGAGGCAGTGTGTCCATTCTCAGATCTCAAACTCCGTGCTGGGAGAACCACTCTCTCTTCAAAGCTGTCAGACAGGGACGTTTAAGTCTGCAGAAGTTTCTACTGCCTTTTGTTCAGCTATGCCCTGCCCCCAGAGGTGGAATCTACAGAGGCAGGCAGGCCTCCTTGAGCTGCGGTGGACTCCACCCAGTTCGAGCTTCCTGGCTACTTTGTTTACCTACTCAAGCCACAGCAGTGGTGGACACCCCTCCCACAGCCTCACTGCCACCTTGCAGATCGATCTCAGACTGCTGTGCTAGCAGTGAGCAAGGCTCCGTGGGTGTGGGAACCTCTGAGCCAGGTGTGGAATATAATCTTCTAGTGTGTTGTTTGCTAAGACTGTTGGAAAAGCACAGTATTAGGGTGGCAGTGTCTCGATTTTCCAGGTACCATCAGTCACGGCTTCCCTTGGCTAGGAAAGGGAATTCCCAACCCCTTGTGCTTCCCGGGTAAGGCCATGCTCTGCCCTGCTTCAGCTCATGCTCCGTGGGCTGCGCCCACTGTCCGACAAGCCCCAGTGAGATGAACCCAGTACCTTAGTTGGAAATGCAGAAATCACCCACCTTCTGCACTGCTCATGCTGGGAGCTGTAGACTGGAGCTGTTCCTATTTGACCATCTTGGAACCTCCTATGCTGTCTTTGATTTCAAATTGTTTTTGGAATGTTGGAAATATTTATTTACCCAAAATTAAACAGTACTATTAATACTGTATGAAAAGTATAATCTTTCGAATTACTCTAGTTGGAGACACTGGCAAGTCAGTCACTTTGACTAAGAAAAAGGATGCTAATTAATAAAAATGATTTTTTAAGAACTCATATTTAGAGTACCAGTATATAACACAACCAATGCCAAACCCAAATTCAAGGCTGTTAAATAATTTTGCTGTTTAAAATTTTCTCTTTCATTATGACATTTTCCCTTACTGTCATCCCACTCAATTAGTAAGTTTATCGGTCACTTTATACTTTATTCCTACTATCCAAAAAATCAGCCATATTTACATACAGATAAACATTAATAAGAAATCATAGTTATTTTATGTAAAGTTATTTGAATAAAGAGAAGAAATTAGAGGGAATAGATGGCAGGGTTCTATACATATAATTACTGAAATATAGATTGAAAGCCTCCTCAATATATAAAGAAACATAATAGCATTATTAAAGACTACAGTAGAAAAAAACTCTTAGAAAGAGCAGTTGTAGTGAACTGTAGAAAGAATTATTTCTGTTCAGGTAAAAGATATTTAAAATAAAAGATTACGAAATGAAATGACACTACAGAATGCCTGATAGACATTTATTCGAGGACAAAATAAATCATCCAAATACATTTCTTACTTCCAAGTATTGCACAGAATTGGGAAGCATACAGTTTTTAAAAAAATCAAGATCTACTGAGCATTCTTGGTCATCAAGTTGGAACATGTTTGTAACTACTGAACCTATACAATAGTTGACAATACCAATAGGTGAAGAATATCTAATTGTATTAATGCAATTGGTGTTATTTTATTTGTTAAGCAAATATAAATGAAATGAAACCATGAATTACAGGATTGTTAGTGGTGTGTTCTAGTTTTAATATGCTTTTTAGGAAAAATATGAATTTTGTGATGCTTAATAGAACTGTCTACCCTCTATTACCTATTCAGTTGCCAACACACATCCAACAATATCTTTTTTTTTTTTTTTTTGACAGAGTTTCACTCTGTCACCAGGCTGGAGTGCAGTGGCACAATCTCGGCTCACTGCAACCTCCACCTCCTAGGTTTAAGTGATTCTCCTGCCGCAGCCTCCCTAGTAGCTGGGACTACAGGTGCATGCCACCACACCTGGCTAATTTTTTTTTTTTTTTTTTTTTTGTATTTTAGTAGAGATGGGGTTTCACCATGTTGACCAGCATAGTCTCGATCTTCTGACCTCCTGATCCGCCCGCCGCCGCCTCCCAAAGTGCTGGGATTACAGGTGTGAGCCACCGCGCCCAGCCAATATCTTTAATATTCTAAATGATTGTAGCCGGGCATGGTGGCTCACGCCTATAATCCCAGCACTTTGGAAGGCTGAGGTGGGTGGATCACCTGAAGTCAGGAGTTAGCAGCCAGCCTGGTCAACATGGTGAAACCCCGTCTCTAATAAAAATACAAAAAGTATCTGTAGGTGGTGGCAGGCGCCTATAATCCCAGCTACTCAGGAGGCTGAGGCAGGAGAATCGCTTGAACCTGGGAGGCGGAGATTGCAGGAAGTGGAGATGGCACCACTGCACTCCAGCCTGGGTGACAAGTGCAAAATTCCTTCCCCCCAACTCCCCAAAAAATAATAATGATTTTGAAGTCCAGCAGTTACAAAATTTTCAGAAATAACTAGGCAATAATGCCTAGCATTCTGTCATATTGGCAAAAGTACTCATATTTTCTCCAAATATAAGATAAAAGAAAGGCATGCTGACTGATTTATAAATATGCTCATTACAATAGTCTTTATCTCCTTTTCCAGAATTTTTAGAACTTTTATATATTCTTCAAGATTAGAATAACTATGATATAATTATTGGATGTTATACTTTTAAGTATAATATCTTCAAATGTGGAGTTTCAACTCAGCATTGAAAGAAAGGTATGTAAAAGCCTCATGGAAAATAATTTGTTTACACCAAACTAAGCAATCAGATATGAAGACATTCATAAATATCAAAATAGTTAAGCCACTAGAAGTTGTCAGCAGGTGTCCAAAGCCATTCTCTGAGGCTTTCTGCTACTATGGTGGTTTTACATCAAACAGATAATTATTTCCAATTTCTAAAAGACTAAGATATTTTCTCAAAACATTAATATGTGCCAATTATTTCATTATTAGATCTTTATAGAGACAAAACCCATCCAAAGATATATATACTTAAAAAGGGTACATTTTATTTCATGTAAGTTATACTGTAAATAAAGTTGAATTTAAAAAGTTTGTAGATTCTGCAGATGTACTGTGAATAACAGCCATAGTTGGTGTCCAGAGTTATAAACTTCTCCCTAATTAAGCTGTGAAGCCTTTTACAAACATGTCTTTACCAAGCTAATATATTATTAATGCAGTTTCAGTGTTTACTAGACTTACCTGTTCATAAGAAGGCCTGTATACTTGTTAAACATGGAGATTTAAGGGCACACTTAAGATCAACTGAATCTGCATGTTTTATCAACTATCTCAGGTGATTGCTAGCACAAGCACATTTGAGAAACAGTACTTTTCTTTCTCTCAACCCTAATACAAGTAATTTTTTACTCAGTTTTCTTCCAGCTTGAATTTCTATCAGTCTTTGAATTTTCCAAACCTTTTTGGATCTCTGCTTTCTATAATTCCAGATATTACAATATGCATTGCTAACATCTTTATCATGATTTTTTTTAAAAAGAATAAATACAGGGAAAGACCAAATAATGAGTATTTTGGTTCGTTACATCAGGTAATGGAGTGAAAGAAATGAAAAATATGGCATTGGCACTTCCAATGTCACCTTCCTAAGCTTACATAGCAATAAAGCTAGTATTCCTATCATTCTACTTATGATGGAATTTGCCAAAAATAAAAACAAAGAAAATATTTCAAGCATTTTGAAGGTGAGCTAATATCTTTGAAACAAAACAGGAGCACACAATATCCCCAAACAGTGCTGCATTATTTCATTAATCACTGGAAAAAGCAAACTTTCAAATTTGAAAAAAAATAATAATAATTTTAGAATGCCAAGCAATTACCTGAGTTCGAAGGATTGCATTATAATACTCAATTGTTTTATTATAAACAATTATTGATGTTAAATGTATAATCAATACAGTTTTTTTTTTTTTTTTTTTTTTGATGGAGTGTCTCTCTGTCACCCAGGCTGGAGTGCAGTGGTGCGATCTCGGCTCACTGCAACCTCCGCCTCCCAAGTTCAAGCAATTCTTCTGCCTCAGCCTCCCAAGTAGCTGGGACTACAGGCGCACGCTGCCACACCTGGCTGATTTTTGGATTTTTAGTAGTGACGGGGTTTCACCATCTTGGTCAGGCTGGTCTGGTCTTGAACTCCTGACCTCATGATCCACCCGTCTCGGCCTCCCAAAGTGCTAGGACAATACATTTATTATTAAACACCATATTCTCAGTAAGTTTTAACTAATTATTTCTGTCATCTTCAGAAATTCTAAATTATTGAATGATTTTGATTATGGTTACAGAGAGTTGTCCGAACTGATTGCAAATGCTGACAAAACCCTGAAATTTCTGGTACTTCGGTAGGCATTACCAGAGAAGCAGCCACCTAGTTTGTTAGCAGAAAGCTTATTTACATTTTACTCAAATAAATGTCCTTAAAGAAGCTACATTGGAATCACCTGAAATGCTCATCAAAAAGAGACTTCTGAGCTCAGCCCAAGAAATAATAAATCTAAATCTTAAAGGCAGTGGCCCAAGAATTTCTATTTTAACTAGGTCCCTGGGAAATTCATATATAAAACAGATTGAGTAATTCTTTGTATTTTAAGAACTCTGAAGCTGATCAAGATGGGAGTCTGACACTATCACTGAGGTCACAGTGGCTTTGTCGTAGGCCAGAAGCACAAATAAATCTGTGTGACAGTTTTATGCTTACTATTTATGAAAGCATATCTCCCAGAGTGAATAATAACACAATCTTTAGAAAAACCTGGCTCAGAAACATCTGACTGACTTTGGGCTACTTCTTTATAAAAGGAATTACTAGATTCACAAACTGAAAGAAGCAATATTTTTTTTTCCTCTGAATGCTACAATTGCTAAATCATAGTCACTTGTTGTGTGTATATTTATATATATTTATTTATTTTCTTGAGACGCAGTCTTGCTCTGTCGCCAGGCTGGAGTGCAGTGGCACAATGTCAGCTCACTGCAACCTCCGCCTCCTGGGTTCAAACGATTCCCCTGCCTCAGCCTCCCAAGTAGCTTGGATTACAGGCATGTGCCGCCACGCTCGGCTAATGTTTTGTATTTTAGTAGAGACGGGATTTCACCATGTTGGCCAAGATGGTCTCAGTCTCCTGAACTCGTGATATAATTTTTAATGTATTTATACACACATACATATATTTCCATCCATGCACAAAACAGCTTTTCAAGTTATTCCTTACGGACAAAGAATGAGATGGTATTAAGGTGGAGATAAGGAGATGAGAGTATTACACATGTACAAATAGTGATTTCAGACTTCTAACACCCTTATCACAGATACCAAAGCAACTGGTAAAACACAGAGGGCATAACTAAGAAGTAACAATACAATTTTTTGTCAAAATATTTTTATGTTTAAATCTATTTATGTATAATATTCTATTTTCTGCCTACCATCTTTATCTCTTTTTCCCCTTCCTTTTCCTGACTCTTGACATGTATCCCACCCTATACACTCTCCTTATTCTTGTACTTCCTAAACTCTACGTAATATAATCATTTTATTTTCAGGTGAACAGTTTATCAAGTTTTTACAGTATGTACTTTAAATATTTTGGATGTGAAGATTTGACATAAAATTGATTCCACTTAATAAGCATATTACAAACCACATAATGACAGCATTATCATGAATTTACTTTAAATTGATCTTTGTCCAGTACACAAATCCTGTGATAATCAATGCCATAAAAATGATTAGATAGCATACACAATTATGGATCAGCTTTTGCTCACGTGAATAGTATCTGCCTTTATAAGGCAAATGCATTAATTAAAGCAAAAAAACTCAGAATACAAAATACATCTCTTATGTAAAATATGCATATAACAAATTTACCAGGGAAAATAGAAATATTTCATTTATTTATCATTTTTTTTCTGATCTTTCTTAAAAAATGGTAAAGAGAAGCAATCTGCACTGGGTTGCATAGAAATAGATGTTCTGTGAAGTCATTTATTAAAAAGCAACTTGATTGTCTGAAAGAGCCAATGCATCTCAAAAAAAGATATTTCCAGGAAGTAAAAAGAGGGTCTACCAGAATATTTCAGTGGTGCCATTTTAAGATTGGCTAAATAATTTATTAACATGACCCTAATTCTTTCAAAACATTTTGAAAACAAAGTGCTTTCAAAATTGAAAAATCATTTTAGCAAGGTGAATCCTTCAGATGTAACAGGAAAAGAAAACTTGAAGTGATGCAATTTAAGTTATGACAAAACACTAATTAAAAATTGAGTACATGTTCCAATATGAATGCTTCTACCACACATCTAAGATGTAATCTTAGAGAAATTTATATTTTGAGCTACCATTGCTTAGACAACATTATTTATTAAATTGCATTGAATTGTTATTATGATATTTATTATACTATTTATTTTTTAATCTTGGATAATGACTTTTAGCTCCATGTTTATTCATATGTTCTGAAGATTATAAAATTACCATTCAAAAAAGTTTTAGTCTCCAGTTTTAACTTCCATATTTGAGAAGGTTCCCTGACGTCTCAGAAAAGTATATACAAATGCATAAGTAGTCAATATGTATGCATATACATATGTAATGGTTCCACAGTTTATGTAGGTAGATACAATGGGCTACTGGAGAAATTTACCTTCTCTTTTTCATATAATGACTTCTTTTCCTTTGATGCCTAGCACTGGGATTGCTGAATCAAATGGTAGTTCTACTTGCGGTTCTTTAAGGAATCTCCATGCTGTTTTCCATATTGGTTATACTAGTTTACATTCCTACCAGCAGTGTAGAAGTGTTCCCATTTCTCCACATCCACACCACCATCTATTATTTTTTGATTTTTTAATTGTGACCATTCTTCCAGGAGTAAGGTGGTATCTTATAGTGGTTTTAATCTGCATTTCCCTGATAATTAGTGATGCTGAACATTTTTTTAATATGTTTGTTGGCAGTTTGTACATCTTCTTTTGAGAATTGCCTATTCATGTCCTTTGCCCACTTTTTGATGGGATACATGTAATTTAAATGAATCATATCTTACTAAAACTGAAGAGTGTTTTATCTCATGTGTTGAGTATCTGGAATTTGTCCTTTCAATTGAATTTTTTTTTTATCTTTGCACTCCAGTGTTCATTGGATTGGTAATCATTTGGTAGTTGATAATGTATTAGTAGGTAAAAGTTATAGTTACTTAAAACAGGCAAGCTTTGATTTGTGCTAACAGATTATATCACTGTTTAGCAATATTGCATTTTATTTATAATGTACATTGATTGAAAATGCATCTGTAAATTTTTATTGAGTAATATTGAATTATTTCTAAATCACATTGCTCTTTTCCCAACTAAATATGAATACATTTATTTTTATTTCATTAAGCTCAATGGGAAAAATATTAATTTCTCCTTAAGTGCAAAATTACAGAATTACAGAATTGTAGAATTGCATCAATATGTCATGAAGATAAACCAATATTATACCTTCTTTCTTGAAATGAACAACAGCTTAAATGGTTTGTCCTACAGTAAAATATCTGCTATATGACTAGCTACCAGATTTCTTAATTCCTTTGGTACTTTTCATACTCTTCGTACTTCAAGAATTTGAGTACTTGATAACAAAAGCTATGAGTTTCTGGGTTTCAAGATCCATTACAATTCATTTTAGTGCACATATTTTTTTCTTCTCAGTATAGTAATGTAACATCTCAGTTAGCTTTTTACATATTGATGTTCAGCCCCTTCATATCACAGGGCCATAAGCAACTTACTTTTGGTTGACAGAAAAATATCCTAGAAAGGGGCAGTCTGGCAAGACAAAAAGACTTTTAGACAATAGCCACTCTACTATGGTCAAATACCACAGGGAAAAAAAAAAAAAATGTGGTTTCATGCCCGCCCACATTAGTTAAGTCCCAGTGAAGAACATAAACTTAAAACCTCACAAATGTGTAAAAAAGTGCCTCTACACTTCTGATTTGCATATCATGGGAATAAAGCAGGTCCAAGTGATAATCAAGTCAAAGAAGTGACTATGCATATGAGTTGTGAATGTTTGGAGCAGAGGACTCCTAAAAATTCTAAAGCGAAGGTGCCAGAAAAGGCAGAAAGGTTTAGAGGCACTCTTTCATAAGTCAAGGAAGGAGTTCCAATGGAAACTTTGAAAATACATTGATCTGACTGAAAATAAGAGTACAACATACCAAATTTGAGGAATACAGATAAAACAGTGCTGAGAGGGAAATCTATAGCATTAAATGCTATTAGAAAAGAGGAAAAGTCTGAAATTAATCATCTAAGTTCTCAGCTCAAGAACCTGGAAGAAGATTAATATAAAACCAAAGGAAAAGGAAGGAAGAACTTAGTAAAGATAAGGGCAGAATTAAACTAAATTAAACTGAAAGAAACTGAAATTAAACTGAAAATAGAAATAGCAATACAGAAAAATCAATGAAATAAAGAGCTGGTTCTTTGAAAGGATCAATAAAATTGACAAACCTCTAGCAAAACTGGCAAAAAAAATCGAGAGAAAACACAAAAATTATCAACATCAGGGATGAAACAGGATATGACTATAGAACCTGCAGACATCAAGAGAATAACAATAAAATATTATGAACAACTTTACACACATAAACTATGTATTACACACATAGACAACATGGAAGAAATAGGCCGATTACTCAATAAACACAAACTACTGCAATTTATCCAATATGAAATAGGCAATTTTAATAGCCCTATAACTGTTAAATAAATAGAGTTTACAATTTTAAAAATTTCATAAAAATATATCCAGACCCAGATGATTTTACTGGAGAATTCAATGAAATGTTTAAAAAAGAATTAACAGCAATTCAACAAAATTTCATGCAGAAAAAGAGAGGAGAGAACACTTCCTGATTCATTTTATAAAGGTAATATTACCCTGATACTGAAATCAGACAAAGACAGTTGAAAACATAGACTACATATTTGATACAGCGTACACTGTTCAGGTGACAGGTTCACCAGCATCTCAGGAATCACCTCTAAAGAACTTATCCACGTAACCCATAACAACCTGTACCCGCAAACTACAGAAATTAAAATAAATTACATGTATACAAGTACTTAGCTACTTATGTTTATATAGGTTTAACTTTGTTACTCATTTGCAATGTGACCTTTGATTATCTACATTTTCTTCATGTCAGTTGTAAAATTATGACAGTTCAACAAATCTATCTCAAATATCGGTTCCAGTTTTAAAGCTTTATGATTTTATGATTCAGATCTACATAGTATTACTTAGTTATTCGTCATAAAATATCAAAGGTGAAACTCCATCACTGAAAGAATGTGTTATTCTTCTTTATCACAGCCAAACCCAGTTGAACTTACCACATCACTTCACTTTAATGCCTTTTCTGGCACCTTCACTTTACAGTTCCTAGGAGTCTTCTACTCCAAACATTCACAACCCACATGCACAGTCACTTCCTTGACCTGATCACCACTTGGACCTGCGATAACTCAGAATATTTTCCTGCCACTCTCATGTTCCCACAACTTCTCTCACCTAATTCCACTGACTTCATATTTCCTATCTTCATCATGTTAAGTCTATATGATTTTAAACACTACAGAAAAGTTATGTAATTGCTGATTGAACCCCCTAAGAAGCCCAGTAAGCAATATTAGGGAAACTCTCAGCTGTATCAATCAATTATTTTTGATGCACCCATAGTCAAATGTCTATCTACAACAAGATATATAAACATGGTCACATTTTAACAATTATTGAACAAAATGCTTCTTTCCATTCAGACTCCAGTTAAAATTCTTTATCACCAAATTTCTTGGACATATTAGATTGTCATTCAATGCTTCAATGCTTCCTTTTGTTATACATTGTCATTAAATCATTACATTGGATTCTTTCTCCTATCCCTTCCCTGAAATTGAAATCTCAAAGGTCAGAAACCCAGTGATTCATATATGTCAAGTGAAATATCCATTTTCCCTGTACTCATAAGCTGTTATCAACAACCAGGAGTTTCTCAGTTTCGGGATTTCCATTTTCTACCCAGCCATTAAATCTAGGTCCCCAGAATTCCAACCTGTCCTTGCACCCAAACTGAACTTCTTTTGCCAAATCCACTTCTTATCCTGTAATTCCTTATTTTCTGTAACCTTTTTTTTTTTCTTTTTCTTTTTTTCTTTCTGAGATGGAGTCTCGCTCTGTCGCCCAGGCTGGAGTGCAGTGGTGTGATCTTGGCTCACTGCAAACTCCGCCTCCCTGGTTCACACCATTCTCCTGCTGGGACTACAGGCGAATGCCACCACACCTGGCTAATTTATTTTTATTTTTATTTTTATTTTTAGTAGAGATGGGGATTCACCGTGTTAGCCAGGATGGTCTTGATCTCCTGACCTCATAATCCGCCCACCTCGGCCTCCCAAAGATTTTTCTGTAATCTTAGTTCATCTAGTTTTTCTTTACTTTTTCCACTTTTCACTACCAAGTATTTCTCCCACACACACACAAAAAAACCTTTCAATATACCACTTCACAATTTCAAATATCACTCTATGTCTATTGCTGCTACAAGAAAAGCAAAAGAAATGAACACAAAATAAACAAAATAGGAAAGCAAACAAGCAAACAAAAAACTAAGAGGATGTGGGCTTCGCGATACAAAGACAGTCTTGATGGAACTGCCTTAGAGAAAGAAGCCAGGCAAGAAGAATGGGATTGCAAGAGGTACCATCAAACAGCCCAGTGTTGCAGAGAGGAAAGGTAAAGACAAGACAGCACATTTTATGTTGGTTTTGAGAACTGGATATTACTCACATTTAGAAATTAGCGGCAGATTAAGAAGTAAAGGTAATGAGTGTTGATCATTCTACCTAAGACATTTGTCTAATGGTTACAGTATTGAGGGTGCAAGCAGAAGGACCTAAAATTAAGAACACACTTGGTAGAATCAGTGCCAAAATGTAGAAGAAACTGTTCTACCCCTACAGGTTAAAATAAGATACACAGAAATATCTTAAAATTTTTAAATTATCTTAAAAATAATTTAAATATCCTAAATTATTTTCAAATGCGAAATAATTATTTACAAAGAATGCCTTCAAACTGTTAATTTAGTGCTTAGATTTTAGGAACAGAATATATTGACTATAATAACACATCTTAAACAGTATATTTTTAGGATACTCAAAAACTTAGGATTATCATTTGTCAGGGTCAGGACTAGGGTGAGGCAAACAAGGCACCTGGTGCAAATTTTTATGAAACATTCACTCTCAGGTTCATGGAAGGTCAGGGTCAGCATTTGCAATGGAGAGTGAGGACCTCCTGAAATTTTGTGCCTGAGACACCTTGCTTACCTCACCCTAGTTTTGGCCCTACCATTTGTAAAATATATTTATATGCCTTTACATATCTTACAAAAAGTAATGTAGCATAGCAAACAGGAACTCCTACTAGGTCTATAATAATGTTACATGTTCGTAGACTCTAAGTCTGTATTTTTTATCATCAAATTATATACGTTAAACATTTAAAGTATTAATTAAGCTGGGCATGGTTGTGTATTCCTGTAGTCCCAGCTACTCAGGAGGCTGAGGTGGGAGGATCATTGGAGCCCAGGAGTTTGAGGCCAGCCTGGGCAACATAGTAAAACTTGTCTCTATAAAAAAAAAAAAAAAAAAGTAAAAATATTTACATAAATAAGAGTATATACGGTATAATAATTAAAAGTATATTTAAGTAATTTTAATAACTGCAAAATGTGCATGTATAATTTAAGTAAAATAAGACTAAGAATTTGATTCAAAGTATTTAAATATATAGCTACATATGGATAGATAGGCATGTGTACATTTAAAAAATTAAATAGAAGCACTTAACTTTGGTTTATAATCTTCCTAATTATTTAAATATTTCACTGTATATTTTTCTGTATTTCCAACTTCTTCAATAATCCTGGATTAAGAAGAAAAATAATGTTAGAAGCATGTGTTTATCAAACATCTACTATGTTTACAAACATCCTACTTTTTTCAAATCTCACTATCTAGCAGAGAAGAAAAATTATACCTATCCCCTCTTCACGTACCCATACCCACATAGTTATAATGTAATATAGTAGGCTGCATGCTATAGTACAAAAGAAATCTCTATGTGATTGCAATAAAACCTGCTCATTCCCTAACAAAATAGTAAATTGTTTTTGTTTGTTTGTTTTTTGAGATGCAGTCTCACTCTGTCACCCAGGCTGGAATGCAGTGGCCGATCTCGGCTCACTGCAACTTCTGCCTCACATATTCAAGAGATCCTCCTGCCTCAGCCTCCCCAGTAGCTGGGATTACAGGTGTGCACCACCACGACTGGCTAATTTTTGTGTTTTTAGTAGAGATGGGGTTTCACCGTGTTGGCTAGGCTTGTCTCCAACTCCTGGCCTCAATGTGATCCTCCCAAAGTACTGGGTTTACAGGCGTGAGCCACCGTGCCTAGCCCAAAGTAGTAAACTGTGTGTGAAAACCCAATGAGTTGTGTGGAATCATTAAACCAAAAGCATATTTCCCTCTGTTTTATTCTAAGTTTGTTTTCACTGGAAGCAATTTTTTTCTTTTTAAGTTCTGGGGTACATGTGCAGGATGTACAGGATTGTTACGTAGGTAAACTTGTACCATGGTGGTTTGCTACACCTATCAACCCATCACCTAGGTATGAAGCCCAGCATGCATTAGCTCTTTTCCCTAATGCCCTCGCCCTATCCCCCTGCCCTCCCTCAACAGGCCCCAGTGTGTGTTGTTCCCCTCCCTGCATCCATGTGTTCTCATTGTTCGGCTTCCACTTATAAGTGAGAACACGCCATGCTTTGTTTTCTGATCCTGCGTTAGTTTGCTGAGGATGATGGCTCACTGGAAGCAATATTTACCTCTAGAAAGTGATCAGTTGATAACTAAACTTTAAGTTGTGTTTCTCTATGTTGCACTGAATAATTCATGAAAAATGAGGAGTAAACAAGTGAACATTTAGTTAATAATCATTGTAAAGTTATCTTTTTCCCTTATTATTTATTCTCTATTATGTATATGCATGCTTTAAGAGAAGTTAATATATTTTGACCTGTTTTGCTGATCCCAAATCCACATTTATAAATAAACATTACATTTTTACATTTACATTTTTTAGGCTTTGCACATTATATTCTTTGTTAACAAACTTCAATCTAATTGTATGTCGCCTGCAGATGCAGGCAAAAGGTAATAACAGATGTTTTCATTTTCTACAAATTCAATTACCCAATTAATTTATTATTACTTAGGATAATTACTCTGTTTTATTTGACCTAAATAATTACTAAGTTTTGTAATTGATACATTTTGTATCTATTTTGTATTTAAGTTTTTACTATTTTGTCAGCAATACCTATTATTTTACGTTACTCCATATGCAGCCAAATGAAAGGATTCTTTGGTCTGACAGTTCTTTTCATATTACTTAGTTCCTCAATTTAATTATTCCTAAAATATTTAACAAATACCTAAATGTCACAGTTGAAAGGTAGATGTGTTTATTCTTTGTCTTTCTCCCTCTCTGTCCTCATCTCTCTCTATCTTTCTGTGGTTGCCCATGATTATCTAAGGAGTTACTTAAAGATACATTTCACAGTCTATAAGACATTAAAAAGATTAGTGGTTACCAAAGGTGCAGAGGAGGGAATGAGAGATAAGTAGGTAAAGCACAGGGTATTTTGGGCATGGTAAAACTATTCTGAAATACTGTAATGGTAGATGTATTCATTTACTAGGGCTGCTATTAAAAACAAAATAATAAGAAATAAAACAGGATAGCTTAGAGCAACAGAAATTTACTTTCTCAAGTTCTGGAGGCTAGATGTCTGAGATCAGGGTATTGGCAGTGTTGGTTCCTCGTGAGTGTTGTGACGGAGAACCCATTCCATGCCTCTCTCCTAGCTTCTGAGAGTTTCCTAGAAATCTTTCTGTTCTTTGGTTTATAGATCTATCGCCCTAATTTCTGCCTTCATCTTCACATATGTTCTCTGTATATGTGTCTATGTCCAAATTTCCCATTTTTAAGGACAGAAGTCCTTATTTTAATTTGACGATATTTGTGTAAAGACTTTATCTCTAAGTAAGACTACATTTTCAGGGACTAGAGGTTTAGGGCTGAAACATGTTTTGTTGGGGGACACAATTCAACACATAACAGTGAGTATGAAATTATGCCCTTTTCAATTCCCATATAACTTTACAACATGAAAAGTCAAACTAAATATGTACGATTTTTTAAAAATCATTTAGGAAATCAGGAAGTCACAGGGAAAATGAAGACTGTCACAAAATAATCTGATTAAAGATGTATGAAACATCCTCACAGAAGCAGGTAGGGAAAAGGTACTGACCTAAGTAATTTTGGAAGTGAACAAAAGGCAAAAGGAACTGCACATAAGCACTATACTCTAACTGATCATTTCCCACAACGGCATGGGTTAACAATCTGATATTTATATATATATATATACTTGACTTCAATAACTAAGTAAATGGATGGTGGATGGTGGAAGGCAGGTTTATCACTGTTCGAATGGAAATTTATAAATTAGCAAGGGGAGGAGGCTAGAATTACTCATTATTTAATGGGTTATGGTTAGAGTCATTAGTAAGAATTTATATTAGAACTAATATAGATACAGACAGTTAGATATCAAGTAATCATAGATATGTGTTTATGTATGGGTTAAAATACACACATGGATTTATTCACTCTATAAGCTGAGAGAGCCTAAAGAAATGATACCCCGAAGTCAATGAGTTGGTTTCTAATACCACTTGCCACTAAGAGGAACCAAGGCTCCTTGGTGAAGTGGCGGTGATTTGAGGATTAGGACTGTGTTAAGAAATATACAAGATGAACCTCAAGCAGGAATATCTTGTAGCGCTAGGAATTTAAGGATGCGCTAAAAAAACATGTTAATGTGGGAATCAAAGGGCACGGGAGTGAAGTGAAAGATGTGAGCAATAAAGCAAGTCATATTGAATTGTGACTCAAAGAATAAAATAAATATCCATGAATCTATACTGATGTGAATAAATTATTGAATAAGCTAACAACTAGGGTAGAAAAGAAAATTCCTCTGTGCAGAGTTCCAAATAAATTATGTGGCTACTTCACCCTATAGGAGAGGGAACATTATTATCTCTTTCTTAAGTGTGGTGTGCACATAGTGACTTCCTCCCAAAGCATACAATATGTAGAGGGGGGAAAAGAGTAACTTTAGAGGGGAGAAACCTAACAAGCACTTCAGTCAGGTGATCACAGATAACATAAACCATCATTATTAATCATGTTGATAATAAGTACTCTTGATATGATGAGATAAAAATGCTACTTTATTTCTGTGATCTTTCAAAGAATGTATTAAAAATTTCATTTCACTTTTCAAGTTTTAGCAAATTATACTATTTATCTAATTAATAAGAGTGACAACAGTACTTAAAATGTATATGACTTAGAATGATTACAGTTTTCCCTGGAAAGTTATAAGCCTTTTACACATATTTTGTACTGTAATGGGTTGATTTTCTTAATATTCCCAAATTCCTATGAGGTAGGCTTAATATTATCTCTCTTACAATCTCTTGCCCATTTTCTCAGAGAAGCTGCCAAGATGGCTTTTGTAGCCCAGTAATCTGACTTCAGGATTTCTGTGCCTAACAACTATGTCACACTGCTTCTCAGACCACTTGAAGTTTGCAAATTGTCAGTAAAAAATAACTAATAAATATTACATATTATATTTCTTTTGAGGACAGAATTCAATACATTTGTGTAAAAAAAAATCCTCATTATTCACAGATTCTGTATTTTTGAATCCCCTAGTGGCTTAAATTTATTTGTGACCCACAAATACTCCAGGTTTGGGAGTCATTTGTGGATCCATGCAAAGTGGCAAAAAATGAGCACGTGCTGCCAGCTGAGGTTAACAATGGCAGCACTCTTGCTTAGGTTTAGCTCTCTTTCAGAGATGACAATAATATGCAGCTGGTTGGCGAAAGTGCAGTGTAGTACAAGACATCTGAGCTTTGGGGCCAGTGGGACTGATTTTGAATCCTAACTCTGGCACTTATAAGTGGGGTGGCCTCAGGCAAGTCACTTAACACTTCTGAACCGCAGTTTCTCCTTTATAAAATAAAGAAAATCTACCAGGACGAGTTCTTTCTGACATTTAAGAATTTCACATATAATCTATGTGAAATATGAGGTGTATGTGTATCTGTGCATGTGTGTATGTATCTATCTGTTTTGGTTTATACATAATATATATTTCCTCTAAGAGCAGCAGTTCGGTATTTGTTAACTCAATGTTTGCCCAAATTTTATAGAACATAACCACTTTTTAAAATAGGATGTATTTTTATTTTTTTAATTTTTATGTATTTATTTATTTTGAGACAGGGTCTCACTCTTTTGCTCAGGCTGGAGTGCAGTGGTGCAATCTCAGCTCAATGCAGCCTCAGTCTCTGGGCTCAAGCGATCCTCCCACTCTCAGCCACCCGAGTAGCTAGGACTACAGGCACACACACCACACTCAGTTAGCTTTTGAATTTTTTTCTAGAGACAGAGTTTTGCCATGATACCCAGGCTGGTCTTAAACTCCTGGGCTCAAGCGATCCACTGATCTCAGCCTCCCAAAGTGCTGAGATTACAGATGTGAGCCACTGTGCCAGCCTTGACTGTGTATTTAAAGTGTTTATATGCTAGAAATTCTGATAAACTCTGGGATGTGCAGAGCTTTAGACCACAAGAGATCTCAGTCAAGTGGGGAAAAACTAATATTTTCATAAAAGAATTAAGTAAATTCTTTTGAGAGACACTTGGCAAATCAAAGGAGATAAAATCCAGGCCCTATGTAGCACTTCTGAATGACAAGGATTATGTATCTTCTCATACCTCTCATATTTTTCTTTACAAGGAAGTAAGAATTGGGGGATGGGACAGACTGGAGCAATAATTTCAATCTTTATGCTAAGTCTTTTATATAATTCTCAATCCAGTTTCCAAATAAACCATTGGAATGCATCTCACCTCTCTGTTTTATGGCTTCTAAAATTATCCACAGCATACAGTTAGTGTGGGCGCGCCATGTACTTTACTGACCACAGGCACTGAAAAATTTATTTCCTCATGTCTGAGGGCCTGTGAGTATTATATTACCCATGCTTTCTTCTACCTTAATACACATCCACTTGTGTTTTTAGGCACCAAATAACACAAAAATCTCTTATGCCATTAAAGTTAATTTTTCTATTATTTTCAGTCTCAGCAGATGCTACTGGGAAGTCAGAGAGCCACTACAGTCCTATTAGTGAGCCTAAATGGCTCTGAATTAGCTCAGTGCTAAATTTTGTAATACAAATTGACATTTTATGACCACATAACACACACACAAAAAGTCAATTTCCACTCCCTGAAACAAGTGCGTTAAATTCAGATGACATATTTTCAGCTAAAGTATTTATCCTATCTCATTCCAACACAGATGTGAGGTAGGACACAGATTAAGATGTTATTAATCTAGCAGGAATATGGATTTTTAAAATTTACAATTTAAGACAGAGAGAAAGCACACTACAGCTCTAATTTTCCTTTTTTTCCACCCTGATCACTAACATTTAATTAGAAATTTATGGAAATAATTTACTAAAAATTGTCTGTTCAATTGAAAGTTCTGTTTCATTTCATATGCAGCTTTCTTTAAGACTATCAGTTATGTCATCACATTCAAACCAAATTATAAATATCCTCTCATTTTCAATTTTCATTTTGGTCTAATTTTTCTTGTACTATCTGAGGAAAGCTTTTTTTTTCTAGTAAAGTTCATTATCAGTTCCCAACACTTTCTCCAACCTTGGTTCAGTTGCCCCAAATCTGTGGAACTTACCCATCTGAAACTTACCATCGGTTTTCTCAGCTAGTTCAGGTAAAAATCGCCACTGTCCTCTAGCCCAGAACCATTTTTCAGTCTTCTCCCACCATTCACACTCTTCCCAGAAGCACTTACCTAGCAGGTGCATGGCTCTTAGAATTGAGAGACGAACAGGTGTTGGAATAAAGACCACTTGTTCTAATATCAGCTTCAACAGAACAGGTAGTGGCCTTCAAGTTTCTAATGCAGAACTCCTGTTTATGGCTCAGAAGGCTAGAATGGCTCTGACAAAATTGATTCAAGTTAACTTAAAAAATTTATTAAAAACATTGAGCTATCCCTTCATGGTGTCTCTAAACACCTGTTACATTATGAAAGCCACTAACACCAGGTACTCGATGTACAGTCATCTTGCTTTGTATATCCTTTTATAGTACTTGAAGTTATGGCTCATTACAACACTAAAATATCCTCTAAACATTTTTATAGCTTTTCTTAAGTCTATATCCTCAATACATACTTCAAAGGAAACAATGTATGATGAAGTTTATATGTCTCACCCTTCGTATGACCCTGATTAAAAAAAACTGTTTTTATAATCATACAGTCTCATATTCTGTGTGGTGGTAAATGTAACCATGTATTATTTTTACAGCCAATGGAGGTAAACTATTCCACCATAATGTAAATTCCCCAGGAATGTTATTCACGTCTATAATCCTCAGCATTATTCTTACCTAAGGTTCCAATCATACATTGACAAAAATGGCAGAGGGAGAGAGAGACAGAGAAACAGGGAAAGACAGACAGACATTTTTTTTTCTTGCAGAAAAGCCTTTGGTCTGTTAAGACTGGCACATGTAATCCTGTATGGCTTAATAACACTTTTCTTTATCATCTCCTGATCCTTCTTCTCAATACTGAGACCGGTTCAAGCAGAAATCGTTAAGCCATTGTTTAATGGAGTCATATAAAATGAGCATATTTTATGACAACCCATAGCCATTCCAAACAATGGGGACAGGTGAAATACTTAATATGTTCACAGGCTTACCATAACAACATTATCAAAACAAATACTCAAAATGTATCACTCCATGGGTAAATTATCCCTTTGTGGATAACAAATTCAGAGTGAACAGCTTTTATAAATATTTGCACTTTTTAGCTATGCTACATAGTAATCATAAAAGACAAAACTGAAAAGTACTTTCATGCTAGAATTTATCCCCTGTAGGGAATATATATATATATATTTACACATACATGTATATATTATAAAACTGAGAAAAGAATGATATCCAGTACCTCAGTAGCATAGTCTTTAAAAAGAATTCATTATTTCATCCCACTCTCTCTACCTCATGACATAATATTCCATAAATGACTGCAGTTTGTTAGGAAGAAAAAACACATTGCTTTCAGAAGCTCTGCTCTACTGAGGCTGAGTAGCTAATATGGTTCCTTAAATTAATATATTTTAAAATAGTTTTTAAAAATTGTATTTAAGGTTTAGTACATTTTGTATTATGAATAAAATTAATTGTAGACATAGGTTTTGTTAGAACCAAATTGTGTATATTTTTCTTCAGGTGGAACATTGGTGAGCATATATGTAAAGGGACAAATTTTGCTCTCCCATTTACCTCGGAAATCTTATTGAAATAATCCAACCAGAGTTCTGTGAGGCTAAAGATATAATATACCTTCTGAGCAATGTATTAAACATTTTTGTTTGAGGAAAGTAAGATCATTTCTTGTTGCTGTGTTACTGAAGTGTGACAAGGGCATCAGTATGTTTTAATTTTTGTTATTACAAGCAATATATGTCCCTTCTCCAGAAACTAATTTCAGCCTTTCAGCCCTAGATTCTTCTATGAAAAGAGAATCCACTGCTACTTATTTTGTTTGGGGTAAATGAAACTTCCATTATTTATCTGAAACAAATGTTTAACCACAAGTTACATTAAAAAGAAAATAAAACTTTGCAGAAGTTTCAATGTAATCTGGAATATCAAAACAAATTTAAATTTGTTATGTTTCAGTATTAAAAAGATCCTGGAACATAAATATGTACAGCAAGCTTGGCAGTTATGACATCAAATGATAAGATGTATGAAAAACAGGTTGACTGTGCACTGGTTACTAACGTGTTTGAGTCCAGTAAGACAGAACACCTACACACAAGCTATGTGAAGCTGATTGATTACCTACAGGTAAGCAGCAAGGAACACCAGAAGCCTGGAATTTATGAAGAAAGATGAATAGCCCTAGGCTTAGGAGAGCTGCCCCAGGTGGATGGAATCTCTTCTGTCTCTGCTCTTCTAGCACAGAAACTGAGGGACCCTGGAAAGCAGCCTGCCCTTGGTTTTATATAACTGGGAGCCTGGAATCACTTGGTTAAAGTGTTGAGAAAACATCCTGTTTTTAGGAGGTACTGGAGCAGAGCCCAGGCTGTTCCATTCAGTTTCTTCTTATCTCAGGATGTTTCATTCTCAGAACAATCTAGTTATTCATAAGAACTACAAACAAGTATGTGGGAAAATTGGGTCACTCCAGGGCTACCTGAAGAAGTGTCCTGCAATGTAGCATAATGATCAACAAATACAAAGTTATTAGGCAAATTATATGCCTTTGATAAAAAAAAATACTAATGCAAACTTTTGGAAATATTTAGGGTAGAATCGTTGATTACATGGGATTCAAATAGCATAGTTTTAATTTGGTAGCTGTATTTTCTTAAACACATATAAATACCCCTCAGTGGAACATTGTTTATTACTACCATAACTACTGGTCAGAATTTAGAAGGGTCATTGTGATTTTAGAGAAGTAGGTGCCAACCTCATCTTCAGTGGTCGGAAAAATAGAATGGTCCCAAGAATTTATTTTCACAAGGCCTCTATATGTAGATTGTAGACCTACGCTTTGATGTTATAACATCTTAAGAATGCCTTATTAATTGGCAACATTTAGACACATTAATATTAGGTTGGCATTTCTTTAATCAGTAGGTTTGCCTCTAGATCTGTATCGTTTTCCTGAGTTAAAATGTGTTTTATCTTCTCTGTCTTGGATGTCGGTAAAATAAGATTCTTCTAGCCCGTTATTTGCAGCAGTTTCAAGAAGTGGTAAATTATTATCACACTTGCAAGACCACTTTATTTGGTCAATTGATGTTCCTTATTATTTTTATTTTTGCTATCATTGGTTTTTTATTAGCCAATTGAATTTTCCACCTTTTGTTTTCTGCCAAATGTATTTATTTATTTTACAAGCATACACATACACAAACACACACACACACACCCCACAACTTCAGGCACACTCTTTCTATTCATTCCTTCTTTCCATCCCATTGTAATTGGTTCATCAGTATCGTTTCAACCAAGAATTCAGAACTATTTGGTTTGCTTATGTAACAGCTTCTTACCGTGACTATTCTGCAAGCTGACTTAACAATCTGCTCCTGTGCAGTACTGGGAACATACACTATTCCAAGATACTTTAAACTGCTCGAGATAGCTTTTCATTACCAAATCGCTATTTTATGCTGTACTAGGAAAATATTGACTTGCTCTTACTATTTATTATTTCAGTAGCTAATGTTATAATTTGTTGCAAATGCCCATCCACTTGCCTAGAATATATGTGTAATAGGGTATGTGAACTGAATTAATATTTTATTTCTATCATGATGTTTCTTCTTTCTCCTCTAAGACAGTTTTTGTTTTTGAAATGTCAAATTTCATTACATAAACATGCCATTATTGTAATTCAGAATCTTTCAAAGGAGGTGAGCATCATTCAGTTGTTATTGTACAATTATACACACTAGAAAGTCCAAAAACAAATCACTTTTATTTGATAAGAGATTTTGCATTAATACTTCATTTTAATATTAAATAATATCTCTATTTAAACAGGAATGTCACTTTTCATGTCTCTTAATCTCTTTGCTAATTGTCTTCTAGTAAGTTTTATTAATTATATTTTACCAAAATAAATTTCTAAAAGGTTAAATGTATTATCTAGGCTCTAACAGGTTAATCTCTGTCTTTCGTTTTTCTTCCTTCTTGAATTACTAAACCCATTTGCCAATAGAATTTGTCCTACGCAAACAGGATATCTGTTGATATTTTTTCAGCAGAAAATATCCTTTATTAAATAATAAATGCCTATCTGAGAGGAATTCAGTCTCATTCATCTCATTATTTCTCTTCCCCCACCCCCACTTTACCTGTTCTTGTGAATCCTTTTTACAATGTTTTGAACATAGTAGGTTACTATATTTAGGGCCTTGTTATTAATATTATAGTTACAAAATTTAATTTGTGTATTTCACTGTGCTAAACACCCATGCATATAAATATTTCACAATTTATATTTAACTTTTAAAAGTTGGTGCTATTATTATTCCCAATTTACAGAAAGGAAAACTAATGCTTATATATTATGTTAAATGATTTGCCTGAGGTCACACAGCTGGTAAATACAGTGCTCGGATTCAATAGCGGGCATTCTAACTCCAGAACAAGTCTCTTAATCAACACACTATACCGCACACTCCACATTTTCCTGCCTCCCTGGAAAGGTTAAACAGTGTCCTCTCTGGACTCACAGGTGACATTCAATTTAAATTTACTATGATGCTGCATTTATGTTCCGTCTTTGATATCTCTGATGCATGTTGTGCTTTAAATTTAGGCTCAGAAGCCACCATGTATTACTGCTGGCACCCATCACCATGAACAGTACCTTTGGCAGACAATTTTGTCAGACCCCTCTCCAGTTCTACTCCCTTTTCTCATTTTCATTGTTTTGACTATTGAATTCCTAACCTCATATCTTGCCTTTGAAACCAATTTCTGTCATATATATAGTTCCATCTAGATATTTTTAAAATAATCTTACTAGAAATCTGGATTTCTCCTTATGTTAGATTTTGCTCACACCTTTAATATAAGGTCTACTGCAGGCTTGAGAGGGTTAGATTCCTCAATATTCTATCTTCCAAGCTATTCTTCATTCTCTGCACCCAAGGAGAGGTGTTTAGATTTATGAGGCTGACGTGTATTCACCAAAATAATAAAAGGGATGATATATAAACCAGAATATCAATATCTATTTATAGTGAGAACTATATCACAGATATCAGAATAATTACATGAACTTTACAGTGACTTTTCTTTCTGAAAAAAATAAAGAAATTAAAAAGTGAAAATAGCATTGTTTCGTGAACATAAAATCAAAGCAAGAATAGATAACTAGACAATCTTTTTTTTAATTTTTAATTTTTATTTATTTATTTATTTATTTATTTATTTATTTATTTAATAGATAATGTATTCTGTTTCATGGCAGGATACTTGACCTGCTATTTCCTCATGAGGCATCAACATCTCTGGGGCAGTATTGGAAAAGTAGTAGGAAGTTCTTGCTCACTAATTTCCTTTAGCTGGTTATTGGTTTTAATAATTCTTCTTCAAAGTGGTTACAATACACTTGATAAGGTTTTAGCTTTCATTTATTCATTGATTCATTCATTTAAAAATGTTTGCTAAACACAGATCATGTGCTAAGCACTAAACAAATCAGCGAAGAGACCACATTAACAAAGCAGACATGGTTTCTACTCTTAGTGAACTTATAATTTAGTGAGGGGGTCATTCATTAAAGAAGTAATCACACAAATAAGAAATTACAACTGCCTTTATTACTCTGAAGGAAAAATAAATGGTGGTATGTGACTACAGTACAAAAGACCCAGTTTTCCTTGGGAAGTTAGGGAAGGCTTCCCTACAGAAGTGATTGAGATCTGTATTAAAGGATGAATGAATGGACCCTACCAAGGACTAGAGGAAGAGACTTAGGCAGTGGAAACATGGAACAAGATCTTCAGGTGGGAAATTGCTTGGGTATTTTAAGTAATTAACAAAGCAGGTGTGGCTGGAACTTAGTGAATGAGAGAAGAGTGATTAATGATTGAGGTGTGTGTAGGCAGGCAGGTAGTTGAGAAGTAGAGACCTTGCAGGGGAATCCTGCATATATTACAGATTTTGAAATTTCTTTTCTTTATTATTATTATACTTAAAGTTCTAGAGTACGTGCGCACAACGTGCAAGTTTGTTACATAGGTATACATGTGCCATCTTGGTTTGCTGCACCCATCAACTCGTCATTTACATTAGGTATTTCTCCTAATGCTATCCCTACGGGAGCCCCACACTCCCCCACAGGCACCGTGTGTGATGTTCCCCTCCCTGTGTCCATGTGTTCTCTTTGTTCGACTCCTGTTTATGAGTGAGAACATGCCGTGTTTGGTTTTCTGTCCTTGTGATAGTTTGCTATCACAAACCATAGAATGATGGTTTCCAGCTTCTTCCATGTCCCTGCAAAGGACATGAACTCATCCTTTCTAATGGCTGCATAGTATTCCATGGTGTATATGTGCCACATTTTCTCAATCCAGTCTATCATTGATGGATTTGTTCCAAGTCTTTGCTATTGTAAATAGTGCTGCAGTAAACATACGTGTGCATGTGTCTTTATAGTAACATGATTTATAATCCTTTGGGTATATACCCAGTAATGGGACGGCTGGGTCAAATGGTATTTCCAGTTCTAGAGCCTTGAGTAATTGCCACACTGTCTTCCACAATGATAGAACTAATTTACACTCCCACCAACAGTGTAAAAGCATTCCTAATTCTCCACATCCTCTCCAGCATCTGTTGTTTCCTGACTTTTTAATAATTACCATTCTAACTGGCGTGAGATGGTATCTCATTGTGGTTTTGATTTGCATTTCTCTGATGACCAATGATGATGAGCATTTTTTCATGTGTCTGATAGCTGCATAAATGTCTTCTTTTGAGAAGTGTCTATTCATATCCTTCACCCACTTTTTGTGGGGTTGTTTTTTTTTTCTTGTAAATTTGTTTAAGTTCTTTGTAGATTCTGGATATTAGCCCTCTGTCAGATGGGTAGATTGCAAAAATTTTCTCCCATTCTGTAGGTTGCCTATTCACTCTGATGGTAATTTCTTTGGCTGTGCAGAAGCTCTTTAGTTTAATTAGATCCCATTTGTCTATTTTGACTTTTGTTGCCATTGCTTTTGGTGTTTTAGTCATGACATCCTTGCCCATGCCTATGTCCTGAATGGTATTGCCTAGGTTTTCTTCTAGGGTTTTTATGATTTGAGGTCTAACATTTAAGTCTTTAATCCATCTTGAATTCAGTTTCAGCTTTCTACATATGGCTAGCCAGTTTTCCCAGCACGATTTATTAAATAGGGAATCATTTCCCCATTTCTTCTTTTTGTCAGGTTTGTCAAAGATCAGATAGTTGTAGATGTGTGGTGTTACCTCTGAGGCCTCTGTTCTGTTCCATTGGTCTATCTTTCTGTTTTGGTACTAGTACTATGCTGTTTTGGTTGATGTAGCCTTGTAGTATAGTTTGAAGCCAGGTAGCATGATGCCTCCAGCTTTGTTCTTTTGGCTTAGGATTGTCTTGGAAATTTTTTGTTTCCATATGAACTTTAAAGTAGTTTTTTCCAATTCTGTGAAGGAAGGCATTGGTAGCTTGATGGGAATGGCATTGAAACTATAAATTACCTTGGGCAGTATGGCCATTTTATGATATTGATTCTTCCTATCCATAAGCATGGAATGTTCTTCCATTTGTTTGTATTCTCTTTTATTTCCTTGAGCAGTGGTTTGTAGTTCTCCTTGAAGAGGTCCTTCACATCTCTTGTAAGTTGGATTCCTAGGTATTTTATTCTCTTTGTAGCAAATGTGAATGGGAGTTCACTCATGATTTGGCTCTCTGTTTGTCTCTTATTGGTTTATAGGAATGCTTGTGACATGTGCACATTGATTTTGTATCCTGAGACTTTGCTGAAGTTGCTTATAAGCTTAAGGAGGTTTTGGCCTGAGACGATGGGGTTTTCTAAATACACAATCATGTCACCTGCAAACAGGAACAATTTGACTTCCTCTTTTCCTAATTGAATACACTTTATTTTTTTCCCTTGCCTGATTGCCCTGGTGAGAACTTCCAACTCTATGTTGAATAGGAGTGGTGAGAGAGGGCATCCTTGTCTAGTGCCAGTTTTGAAAGGGAATGCTTCCAGTTTTAGCCCATTCAGTATGATATTACCTGTGGGTTTGTCATAAATAGCTATTATTTTGAGATGCATTCCATCAATACCTAGTTTATTGAGAATTTTTAGCATGAAGGGCTGTTGAATTTTGTTGACGGCCTTTTCTCCATCTATTGAGATAATCATTTAGTTTTTGTCATTGGTTCTGTTTACGTGATGGATTATGTTTATTGATTTTCATATGTTGAACCAGCCTTGCATCCCAGGGATGAAGCCAACTTGATCGTAGTGGATAAGGTTTTTGATATGCTGCTGGACTCGGTTTGCCAGTATATTATTGAGGATTTCTGCATTGATGTTTATCAGGGATATTGGTCTAAAATTCTCTTTTTTTGTTGTGTCTCTGTCAGGCTTTGATATCAGGATGATGCTGGCCTCATAAAATGAGTTAGGGAGGATTCCCTCTTTTCTGTTGATTGGAATAGTTTCAGAAGGAATGGTACCAGCTCCTCTTTGTACTTCTAGTAGAATTCAGCTGTGAATCTGTCTGGTCCTGGACTTCTTTTGGTTGGTAGGCTAATTGTTGCCTGAATTTCAGAGCCTGTCATTGATCTATTCAGAGATTCAACTTCTTCCTGGTTTAGTCTTCGGAGGATGTATATGTCCAGGAATTTATCCATTTCTTCTGGATTTTCTAGTTTATTTGCATAGAGGTGCTTATAGTATTCTCTGATGATAGTTTGTATTTCTGTGGGATCGGTCGTGATATCCCTTTATCATTTTTTATTGCATCTATTTGATTCTTCTCTCTTTTCTTCTTTATTAGTCTTGCTAGCAGTCTATCAATTTTGTCGATCTCTTCAAAAAATCAGCTCCTGGATTCATTGATTTTTTTGCAGGATTTTTTGTGTCTCTATCTCCTTCAGTTCTTCTCTGATCTTAGTTATTTCTTGCCTTCTGCTAGCTTTTGAATGTGTTTGCTCTTGCTTCTCTAGTTCTTTTAATTGTGATGTTAGGGCGTCAATTTTAGAACTTTCTTACTTTCCCTTGTGGGCATTTAGTGCTATAAATTTCCCTCTACACACTGCTTTAAATGTGTCCCAGAGATTCTGGTATGTTGTGTCTTTGTTCTCATTGGTTTCAAAGAACATCTTTATTTCTGCTTTCATTCCTTTATTTACCCAGTAGTCATTCAGGACCATGTTGTTTAGCTTCCATGTAGTTGTGTGGTTTTGAGTGAGTTTCTTAATCCTGAGTTCTAATTTTATTACACTGTGATCTGAGAGACAGTTTGTTGTGATTTCTGTTCTTTTACATTTGCTGAGGAGTGCTTTACTTCCAATTATGTGATCAATTTTAGTATAAGTGTAATGTGGTGTTGAGAAGAATGTATATTCTGTTGATTTGGGGTGGAGAGTTCTGTAGATGTCTATTAGGTCTGCTTGGTGCAGAGCTGAGTTCAAGTCCTGAATATCCTTGTTAACCTTCTGTCTTATTGATCTGTCTAATATTGACAGTGGGGTGTTAAAATCTCCCATTATTATTGTGTGGGAGTCTAAGTCTCTTCTTAGGTCTCTAAGGAATTGATTTATGAATCTGGGTGCTCCTGTATTGGGTGTATATATATTTATGATAGTTAGCTCTTCTTGTTGAATTTATCCCTTTACTATTATGTAATGGCCTTCTTTGTCTCTTTTGATCTTTGTTCGTTTAAAGTTTGCTGTATCAGAGACTAGGATTGCAACCCCTGCTTTTTTTTTTGCTTTCCATTTGCTTATTAGATCTTTCTCCATCTCTATTTTGAGCCTATATGTGCCTCTGCACATGAGATGAGTCTCCTGAATACAGCACACTGATGGGTCTTGACTCTTTATCCAATTTTCCAGTCTGTGTTTTTAAATTGGGGCATGTAGCCCATTTACATTTAAGGTTAATATTGTTATGTGTGAATTTGATCCTGTCATTATGATGTTAGCTGGTTATTTTGCCCGTTAATTGATGCAGTTTCTTCATAGCATTGATGGTCTTTACAATTTGGCGTGTTTTTGCTGTGGCTGGTACTGGGTATTCCTTTCTATGTTTAGTGCTTCCTTCAGGAGCTCTTATAAGGCAGGCCTGGTGGTGACAAAATCTCTCAGCATTTGCTTGTTTGTAAAGGATTTTATTTCTCCTTCACTTATGAAGCTTAGTTTGGCTGGATATGAAATTCTGGGTTGAAAATTCTTTTCTTTAAGAATGTTGAATATTGGCCCCTACTCTCTCCTGGCTTGTAGGGATTCTGCCAAGTGATCCACCAAGTGAAGTCTAATGGGCTTCCCTTTGTGGGTAACCAGACCTTTATCTCTGGCTACCCTTAACATTTTTTCCTTCATTTCAACCTTGGTGAATCTGACAGTTATGTGTCTTGGGGTTGCTCTTCGCGATGAGTATCTTTGTGGTGTTCTCTGTATTTCCTGAATTTGAATGTTGGCCTGCCTTGCTAGGTTGGGCAAGTTTTCCTGGATAATATCCTGATAAGTGTTTTCCAACTTGGTTCCACTCTCCCCATCACTTTCAGGTACACCAATCAAATATAGATTTTGTCTTTTCACATAGTCCCATGTTTCTAGGAGGTTTGTTCATTTTTTTTTACTCTTTTTTCTCTAACCTTGTCTTCTTGCTTTATTTCATTCATTTGATCTTCAATCACTGATACCTTTTCTTCCAGTTGATCTAATTAGCTACTGAAGCTTGTGCATGAGTCACAAGGTTTTCGTTTCATGGTTTTCAGCTCCATCAGGTCATTTAAGGTCTTCTCTGTACTGTTTATTCTAGTCAGCCATTCGTCTAATGTTTTTTCAAGGTTTTTAGCTTCCTTGTGATGGGTTAGAACCTGCTCCTTTAGCTCAGAGAAGTTTGTTATTACTGTCCTTCTGAAGCCTATTTCTGTCAACTTGTCAATGTCATTCTCCATCCAGTTTTGTTCCATTGCTGTCAAGGAGCTGCAATCCTCTGGGGGAGGAAAGGTGCTCTGGTATTTAGAATTTTCAGCTTTTCTGCTTTGGTTTCTCCCCATCTTTGTGGTTTTATCTATCTTTAGTCTTTGATGTTGGTGACCTACAGGTGGGTCCTTTTTGTTGATGTTGATGCTATTCCTTTTGTTAGTTTTTCTTCTAACAGTCACGTCCCTCAGCTGCAGGAGTTTTGGAGTTTGCTAGAGGTCCACTCCAGACGCTGTTTGCCTGGGTATCACCAGCGGAGGCTGCAGAACAGCAAATATTGCAGAACAGCAAATATTGCTGCCTGATCCTTCCTCTGGAAGCTTTGTTCCAGAGGGGCACCTGCCTGTATGAGGCGTCTGTCGGCCCCTTCTGGGAGATGTCTCCTAGTTACACTACATGGAGGTCAGGGACCCACTTGAGGAGGCAGTCTGTCCATTCTCAGAGCTCAAACACCATGCTGGGAGAAACACTGCTCTCTTCAGAGCTGTCAGAAAGGGACGTTTAAGTCTGCAGAAGTTGTCTGCTGCCCTTTGTTCAGCTATGCTGTGCCCACAGAGGTGGAATCTATAGAGGCAGTAGGCCTTGCTGAGCTGTGGTGGGCTCTGCCCAGCTCAAGCTTCCCAGCCACTTTGTTTACGTACTCAAGCCTCAGCTATGGTGGATGCCTCTGCCCCAGCCAGGCTGCCACCTCACAGATTAATCTCAGACTGCTGCACCAGCAGTGAATAAGGCTCTGTGGGCGTGGGACCTGCCAAACCGGGCATGGGACCTGCTGAGCCAGGCACGAAAATCTCCTTGTCTGCCGATTGCTAAGACCTTGGGAAAAGTGCAGTATTTGGGCAAGAGTGTCCTGTTTTTCCAGGTGCAGTCTGTTACAGCTCCCCTTGGTTGGAAAAAGAAATCCCCTGACGCTGTGTGCTTCCGAGGTGAGGTGATACCCCGCCATGCTTTGGCTTGCCCTCCAAGGGCTGCTCCCACTGTTCAACCAGTCCCAGTGAGATGAACCAAGTACCTCAGTTGGAAATGCAGAAATCACCCATCTTCTGCATCGATTATGCTGGGAGCTGCAGGCCAAAGCTCTTCCTATTCTGCCATCTTGGAACCACCAGATTTTGAACTTTCTTAGAAGTACCAGAGGGAGTTGTTGAAGGGTCTTTAAGCAAGAAAGAAATTTATTAGAATTACCTTATCACTTTGGCTACTGTGAAAAAGGTGTTTATGGAGGTAGGGTTAAAAGTAAATATAGTTAAAATAATTGGTTATTGCCAAAGTTCAGGAAGAAATTATAGTGAATAAAATAATGGTTTCCTAGAGGTGGAGAGGAATAATTTCAGAAATAGATCCAGGATATATAATTGATAGGATTGATATGATATCTTGTTCCTGTCATGAATCTCTGAGACTACTCCTAAATTATTGTAACCTAATGTTATTATATAACGAATTCTTCAACAGACATAACTGCACAGCTGATTCTATAGATGACTAACATTCTCCATTACGAATGCATTGCGTTATGGCTAGGATTTTTACTTTCAGAGCACAACCTCTTCTGTTTCCAAGTTCTGAGGGGCAAAATATTGCTGACTCTATAGATTTACTTCAGAGATAATTATTTATTAAAATTAACAGAATATGTGCAGAGTGGAGAGAACAGTTATAACAACCTAGAGGATTCTGAAGAAACCTAATCCCAAACTATACAACCAGCATAACCTCAGCCACTCTCACAGCAATGTAAGCAGGGCCTCTTCTATCATTCATAAAGGGGCTGCCTGGAAACAATAATTATGAACAAATCCGGAGATAGCTAAAGATGGCAGTGCAATCAAGTTCAAGAAGCCAAAGTTTGTTTTGATACAATATGCTTAAATTAATATATTAAATTGTGATGATATAAGATTTTTTATTTGCAAAAGGAGTGCTTAATAATTTCAGAGATAGTTGTTTGAACAAGTCAGCAACTTTCTAAATGCAGAAATTTTTAAAATATTGCAATGGTCTGAATAATTATAACTATGCCATTAAGCGATTCTTCAGCTGAGGACTTTTAAGCATAGAATTGTGGTTAATCAGCCAGGTGCATTGGCTCACACCTGTAATCCCAGCACTTTGGGAGGCTGAGGCAGGCAGATCACAAGGTCAGGAGATCGAGACCATCCTGGCCAATGTGGTGAAACCCTGTCTCTACTAAAAATACAAAAAATAACTGGGCATGGCGGTGGGTGCCTGTAGTCCCAGATACTCAGGAGGCTGAGGCAGGAGAATCGCTTGAACCCAGGAGGTGGAGGTTGCAGTGAGCCGAGATCGCACCACTGCACTCCAGCCTGGTAATAGAGGGAGACTCTGTCAATTAAAAAAAAAAAAAAAAAAAAGAAGAAGTAATTTCCAGACTTTGCTATTTTATACACTTAATAGTTGATTTCAGCTAATGCAAGCTGAAACAAAAATGAACTGTGAACAGGAAGCTGTGGCATCGTGACTTCTATAATCCAGCATTTCAGAGGTGCTTGCTCAGGGCTGATTCTGGGTGTTGACAACATCAAATAGATAACAGATATCTTTCTGTCAAACTATATTTTAATCCCTTCTTAATTCTTGTCACACATTATTTCTACACTAATAGTTTTTAATAGCTTAAAATAATTTTACATGTGTAAGTTATGGCTTCCGAAACTAGTCTGTAATTTCCTTGAGATCATATGCTTTTGTATTCACCATAACTTGCTTTGAAACAGTAGATGTTCAATAACGTTGTGCAAAATATGGTGCTATATATTCTTGTTAGTACCTGACCAATTTGTTAAGTGATGTTGTATCATTCCTAGACCATGCCTTAAAGGTACGATTCCAGCATCATTTAAGAGGCTTCATTTTACATTATTATTTTGCATAAAATTCCTTCCCCCATGTTGCCTGCTTTATAGCAGGTTTACAATTTAAAGGGATAGGATTAAGTTTCTCACTCAAAATAAGAGAAGATAAAAATACAGGGAAAGATACTAGTGTGGAAACGTAACTAGTATAACTAAGAATCAGACATCTGTATCACCAGCAATGTCTGTCATTCAAAATTAAGCCTTTACAATTTACTTCTCTTACTTTAAGGTAGAAGCCAACAGAAGCTTATCCAAAGAAATTCTGAAGATATTTTTAAATTGCAAAATAATTATTGAAGGCATTTTTTTCTGCTTTTATTCTAACAATATTTAAATTATAAAAAATAACAGGTCCTCCAATCAGCACTGTAGTGGCTGTATTTACACAGGAAAAGCAAAGCAGAAAGTTAGCCATTATTTCAAATAACACCAGCAAAATTAAATAACTCTGTGGTTAAGGAAAGAGTGGGAATGTTTTTAACATCTATACTCTTATCCATCATTTGCCTATGTGAAGTCAATCTTTATTGGGATTTCATCTATCTCCTGGGGCTGCAGTTAAAGGACAAAATGTAGTAATGCCATTCATGACCTGGATTCTGCCATGCTAAACCTGAATAAAAGCATTCATTTTCTGAATAACATTTTCTTTTTTGTACGAATGCTTTAAGCCTCTTTTAAAATCATTCTTTACTACTTGGCTTGTGCATTTGCTCAGAAGAATAACATAAGCAGATTAAATAAATAAAAGATGTAAGGCCCCATAGAAGAAGGCAAATTTAATATGAGATCACAAACAGAAGAGTAAGTGAAGTCAGCTCCAGTACTCTTTGTACCACTCACCAACTATGCATTGAAAGATCTAAGTAAGTCTCAGGACTTGTGTGTACACAGTGAAACAATTTTAGGTAATGAGTGTAATGCCCAATAATGATATTACTGAGAAACTATGAATAAAGTATGAAGGATACTTAACAGTTTAAAGGAATCTTTGCCCAGGCATTTGATCTCCTACCAACACACATGTACCCACCCTCAATCACTTGAATGGTAGAAGAACACTTAATTTTTAGTGTCTTGATACATATATAAGTTATTTCTTGTTTTCACATCTAGCATCACATTGAAGCTGCCCTATTGTCTCTCCTTGACATTCAAGATACTTGTAAAATGAACCCATCACAAAATTAAATATAAGCTATATGACTACAATCAGAATCTCTTTGTATTGACATAAAAGCTAGGTACATGCTGACACTTGTAAAATCATGCAGTTAGCAAATTCTGGGTCACCTGGCTGTGTACAACACAAAGAAAATGTCCCATAGCATTATGAATAGATGCTGCTGTATCCTACCCTGCAGATACCCCACTTTTTTCTAGCTCAGCTGGAATTAACTTCTACTTTGCTCTTTATGAAACACATGGCAGATTCTAAAATATTTTATCATCCTACATAGGAAATAAATGGCAATCCCTCATTTTTGGCACCTACATCTTTTCATTCTCTCTGACTTGAAGGAAATGGTTGAAGATGAACACAGGAGGTAAGGCATATCAAAATTGGAACTTTACAGCACCAATTGGTCCTTTCTCAGAGTGGGGATCTACTAAAAGTATTTCTGTGAAAATCCACAGTGACTCTCTTTGTTAAACTCACCACTTTAATCCCCAAGATATCCATTTTACTGCTTTCAAGAGCACTACTGTTAGGAATGAACTGAATGTAGGAGATCATCTTGCTTATAAGGTTTTTGACATTAGAATTTCATTGTTACTTTGCTGTAGCTTTCTCAGTGATTAGAATCTTGATATTACAAAATTGTATGATCTTCCTTTTATAGGGATAATTTCAAACTTCTTAGCTTACATTTAAGCCCTTTCACTATGATCCCAATTTGCTTTACTAATCTCATCTTTAACCATTCCCTCCACCTTTCTAAACTTCTTCCATTTGCTTAACATTTTATGCTTTTTTATACCCCTATGTCTTAGCCCAAATTGTATAGAACCCTCTCAACAAGGCGTCTTACAGTGAAGCCTCTGGTACTAAAGGGTCTATAGTTAAGACCCAATTCTGGATAGAGAAGGATGGGAAAGTATGAGCATATCCTTCTCCAATCCCAAACAAAGGCTGGTGTCTCCAGTTTACATCCTTATTGGATAGGATTCTGAAAGCATTCCAAACAGAAAAAAATGCAAAACCAAACATAAACGTCTCTCTCACTGGCACCTGCAGAGAAAGTTTCCTTGAATATTGGCAATATTGATATTTCTTGTTAATAATAATGATATAATAATGATAATGACCATCTCATAAAAGCTGCATTTATTAAACAGTTAGTATGTGGAAGTCTTTGATATAGATGTTTTACATGCATTATTGCTTATATTCACATCTTAACAAGTAAACATGCTCCCATCCCATCCTTAAGTCTTCCCGTCTCAGTAAAATAATCTACAATCCACTAAGTTTTTCAAGCCCCAAACCATAAATTATCCTTGATCCTTTCCTTTGCTTCATGACTGATAGCCATTCAGTAACCTAGCCTATTGTTCCCGGCTTCAAAATATATTTTACATCTGCTTCCTTCTGTCTCCAATGCTACTACCCTAGTCCAGGCTACCAGTATCTTTAGATTGGAATACAGAAATAAAGAAATCAGTAAAACCAAATTCTACTAAATACAATATGATATCCTGGATTGCATCCTGAAACAGAAAAAAATATATATATGAGAAAAGTGCTGAAATCTAAATAAATCCTATAGTTTAGCTAATGGTATTGTATCATTGTTAATTTCTTAGTTTTTACAAATGTAACATCTTTATATGAGTTATTAACATTGGGGAATCCTGGAGACTGGTTGAAAGGCATGTAGACAACTCTGTATTACCTTTGCCCATTTCTTCACATCTAAAATTATTAATAATATAAATCTGACTATATAAAAAGATTTTGGCAGAGCAGAAACATTAAAACAACCTGTTGGAGATTACGTAGGCATTAATGGCTGAACAGAGACTCTCAGATATGACAGGATTCATTGTCTTTTTTTTTTTTTTTTTTTTTTTTTTTGAGATGGAGTCTCACTCTGTCACCCAGGCTGGAGTGCAGTGGCACAATCTCAGCTCACTGCAACCTCAGCCTCCCGGTTCAAGAGATTTTCCTGCCTCAGCCTCCCGAGTAGCAGAGATTATAGATGTGCACCACCACGCGCAGCTAATTTTTGTATTTTTAGTAGAGACTGGGTTTCACCATGTGGGCTAGGCTGGTCTTGAACTCCTGACCTCGTGATCTGCTAGCCTTGACCTCCCAAAGTGCTGGGATTAGAGGCATGCGCCACTGTGCCTTGCCAGGATTCATTGTCTTTTGAGCATAACACTTACTGAGTGCTCTATGTGATGAATTCAGCACTTAGCAAAACTAAGCCAGAGTTCCAAGCTTCACAGATACCTCATCTATGATTTAAATTTGATCTGATTCAAAACTCCTAGAAGCTAATGACATTAAACGTAAGCATGGATACATGCAAAATTCGTTATTACTTTGCTCAATTGTTTATCAACCATTTTAATAGAAACTGTTTTGCAAATCTGCACATTCAAGGAACCCCTGCATCTACATACACACAGCCATAACAATTTAAGTTACTTTCAAATTCAGTTGAAACTTTTCCTAAAACACAACTTTAAGGTCTCTACCACATACACATAATAAAGAACAAAGAATCTAGCTCATTTTTGGTATTATTAGTATTTAGAAGTGTCTTCAAATTTTAGATCACATTTTAAAATATTCTAAGATAACAATTCTTAAAGAGTTGTTTTATTACATTCATGATTACATGAAGAAAACAACCTAATTTAGTTATTAAATTAGGTTGTCTAAGCATGTTTTATAATGTCAAAATTATTGTATCTGTGCCTATTTTTAACATCAAAATTCTGGATAAAATTTAAAATATCAGTCACTCAATATGCAAAAATTCTTCTCTCTAATTTCATATATCAAACACCCATTGACTTACTTTAGTTTCACTTTTTTTTTTTCATTCAAATATCTCCACAAGTAGAGCTGGGGGATATTCAGGAGGCCTACCCACAGTGTATATCATCATTTTAAATCAGATTGAAATAATTTGAAAGTGAAAAAGTAATTTTAAAACAGTCAAGAAAGCACATAATGTGTGTGTATGTTGAAGCAGTGTGTGTGTCGGTTGGGGATAAAAGCATTGGGAGGAGAGAAAAGAGGCCGATTATTACTGAACATGTTATACATATCAAGACTGTTGAACCACATCTTTCCCATAAAAGTTCCTTATGACCCATTCTGTCAAACAGGAAATGTCACACTCATACACTTTACTCTCACTAGCTAAGATATGGGCCTGGGGAAATCAATTATTTGCTAAACTTACTTTATTTGCTAGGCTATATACTCTGTTGCCATATTTATATGTAATTAGGTATTTTCCATTATCTATGTACTCTCAGGAAATATTTATCAATATCAACCTAAATTAATATGCCAGGAGAGTAATAACAGTCCTTCCATGCCTTCAGCTGCAATTCATTTTTAAAGGTTTGAGATATTGCAGGGTCTGAAATTTTCTTAAGGTATGAGTTAAGGTCTTTCTGTGAGGTTATTGAAATAGTCAGGATAGCCTTCACTATGATGTCTTACAGAGTTTGAGACTCAAAAGGGTAAACTGAAGAATTGTCATTAGTAGAGGTCCCATTTTCTTAATATAGGTCTTCATTCTCCCCTTTCTTATGAAGTGGTAACTGGATTATGAAGACATCCCTCTGCAGTTTAGCCTTATTCCACACATTCTAGAATGTGGTAGATAGCTGGAACTATTGAAAAACCAAACTGAATTATCATAGCTCTACTCATTATGGTATCCTATGTCTTGTTTTCATATGGAAAATTGGGTATTTAGCAGTGAGACCTATTATCTGTGGTTATCTGTGAGATTCCTTTTTATACTTAGCTTTTTATTAAACCATAGTAGTGTTATTGGGAAAACATGGACAAAAGGATGAGATTACAGGCTACAGTAGTATTTTTTCTATCTAGTTGTCACTTCACTTGATAATAGCAAGAGGCAGAGGAAATCTAAATCCCTACAGTAAGCACTTTAAAGAGAATCATAGTTATTGAATTTTTCTTTATCTAGTCTTCATTTGTTTTTGGCAAGTTGGTCTTTTAAGATAGGAGCATAATTCATGGAAAATATTGACTCAGAGTGGAATATGCATATCATAGGAGATCATCAACTTCTTCAAACAATCTGATCATATTATAATCAGAATTATAAACAATCAAACAAAAAAGAACATTTTAATATGCAATGTAAATGACTTTTTATGTTTCTTAGGTAATAGTAATTTATAATGCTCTAATAAAACTTAAGTCTGACTGTCAACATGTTTAAGACATGGAGAAGCTTTTCCTGGAAGTTATTAATTATCACCAGGTATTCTCTCAGCCCAACACAGTTAATTATTCAGAAAAATTCAAGTTAAAAGGTTTACTGACTTTTACAGGGGGTTAAGATATGAAACTTAATTTATGTCTCATGTTCATATCTTTTGTATGTTGTATATTAACCTTTTAATATTTTGTCATAGCATTTTTATTAATGAAAATAGTAATAAAATTTTGTAGCATATGTGTACACATAACTATGCATATTCATATTTTTTACTTTACAATTCCAATATATTACATCTTCCTAAGTGATCGTATTTTAGGTGTCAATTTTATACAAACCTATTTTATGTCTGAAGAATTTATTAGCCCTACATCCCTGATTCTATTGACAAGGAAGATATTCCTATGTTACATTCTAAGACATACTGGGCTACATGCCATTAATTTCTGTGACAATAGTTTGAAATTCTGCAATCCCTTTAACACAGTACTTCTGCAAAATAACCTCTAAAATAATTAAATTAGACTCTAAATGCATTAAAAATGTAAATATGAAGTTTAGAATTATTTTTTCCCTAATAAGATTAGAATTCAAACACAAGCATATTTCAAGGACAATGTAAAATGACAATGAAAATATACAATTTCAACACAAAGTCAAACATTCAAGACAACTAAGGTGTAGGAATAAAGTGCCAAACTTCCAGACCCAAAAAGCACTCTGAATTTTTATATGGATATTCATATCTTTAATAAAAATATTTACCTTCCGTTTATTGTATAAAGTATGTCTTTGTTCTTACAACTGCCTTAAATATTTCTCTTTGGGTTAAATTTACCATCAATTAAACTCTGGTTGATTACTATACATTTTCAGTAAGCTAGAAGAGAACGTGATCATAGCATTTCAAGAATCAAAGTTTAATAAGAATACAGATGCATATTCTTCTCTTTGTAAGGCCTCACATTACCTAAGTGAAAATGCAGTTTGACATGCATTAAAATTTGGATCCTACAAGGCAGAAATATATTTCATATATTAATTTGTATGAGTATCTGCAATCCTTTGTTGATAATCTAATTACTCCTCACCTTTGTCCACAACAGAGTTAGAACTGAAAGGGATATAACTACACAAATCCTGACACTCCAAGTGTTAATTATTATACATTTGTCTTGTATAGAACAGACAAAAATGTATTTAAACAGCTCTTCTTTTTAAAGGAAGGCAATATGTATAATACTTTTATATATGCCCTGTTTTATTTTAATAATCTTGGCTGGATTAACATTCTAGTAAAATTTGCAGTGAAGTGGTAGAACCTGCTGTTAAGCAATGATAACAAAGAATACATCAATAGAGCCCACTAAATTATTGCTCTTATTTATAAACATTTAAGCAACTGAGCAAAAGCTTTCTAACACCGCACCTGAATAGTATTGGCTATGCTCCTTTCTCTGCTTTGTCTACTGCTGAGGAGCTATGAATACATCTTGTAACTCTTCCCCTCCCTCCCTCGCTTCCTTCCTTCCTACTTTCTTCCCCCTAGTTTCTCCTTGGAGACATGCTCATATTACTCATTTTCCTCTGCCTTCTTTGTTTAGTCAGCTTGTATCTTGCTTATTTAGACACCATGTATATTGCCAATAATCAAATTTAAGAAAAGTAAAAGAAGTCATTTCTCATACTGTCACATTTCTTACCACCTCTCTTACACTCCAAACTCCATTTCTTTTCATCATTTCTCTGGGTTACATACACAGGACTTTCAACTTTTGCAAGAATCCATAGGCCACACATATTTAAAACTCTGTCCATTCATTTATTCAACAAATATTTATTTAGTGTTTATTGTTGCCCAGGCTCTGTGTTGAAAATAATGGGAAGAAAGGTAGTAATGTGGCTATTTTAGTAACAGGAAAAGATTCACGAAACTCAGAAGTTTGATCGGAATGTATTGCCCTTACCTGTGCAAAATATGGTCCTAGACACTGGGCTACGAAAGACTGAAGACAATCTGTGCTCTCAAGTGCTTACAACATAATTGAAAAGCCAGAATTCTTGGCACCAATAGGCAAAATGACTGAAGGACACTTAGGGTAAAATATTCCAACATACTCAAATCAGCATAAAGTAAATAGTGTGCAGGAGTATTTGAGAGAATAGTCAAAATTTAGTTTACTGTATCAATAGAGGCCTACTGCATGAAGGGAATTTGAAACTGAATTTTGATACCCATGAAAGATATGTATTTTCAGGAGATAAAAGAATAACCACAGTAATTTGTACAAACATGGGAATAAACAAACTGCATATTCTGAAAGATAAAGTATTTGCTTGGTAAGATATTTGCTGAGAATAATAGTTCTCAAAATGGTGGCTGATGAGCAAGCATATGAGAATTACCTCAGAAGTCTTTCCCCAGCTGATTACACATTATCTTCTCTCTCTCTTCATTTTCTGTTTGCTACATTTCTTTCCATTTTTCTGTGATGTCCCTTGCAGTGGATATAAGGACGGATCTGTGCATGTTGCAGTTAGGAAAGGCAGATTGCAATTTGAAGAAAAGTTCCACAGAACCAATATCTCCATGCTACCTGCTTTGAGTTAGGACACAATGCTTTATGGAAATGCTCACATATATTTTTGAAATGGGATAGGAGTAGTGAAAGGTGTATCTCACAACTGGGTAGCCATGTTGAAATTAACATGAGAAGTGAGTAAGTGTCAAACCCAAGCCTGATTCATTTAACAAATAAAATATTACCAACTACAGTTTTATATACTGTTCAACATTCCACACCACATCTTACCCTATTTTGAAGCTTAAATTTAAGCCTTTATTAAAAACTACATCTGTGCAATAATGCAGTATGTAAACTGTCATTTGTTTCATAAAAATGTTAGTAGATGGTGTCCACATATATATGCATTGTGTGTGTGTGTGTATATATGTATATATCTATATCTATATATATATACACATCCAGAATTCATTTGAGCAATGTTCACTTACGTTATCCACATTTATAAAGAGAGAAGCGTATAAGATCCAAATTAAAATGCAATGTCATTATCATTTATACTGTTAAAATTCAAACCATAAAAATAAAAGGGGGGAGCAATATTACAGGTAACAAAAATACTTTAAACTATGTATATTTGGCTCTGCAATAGTCATTGCTCTGAAACGTTACATAATAAATTATAATAACTTTAATAGATAATTAAGTTTTCTTAAAAATAATAATAATTGGTTGTGTTTCTTAAATACATTCTAGTAATGGGCTAAGGACAGTTATGTTACAATGGCCCAAAAATTAACTAGCAGGCAATGAGGAGTTCTTGTTTGTACACAAGAAACTATTACTATTTAAAAGAGGAAAAAAGACCTCCTCATTTATTTTACACATCTGTACCATGAACTAATCTAAATGTTTTAATATCATTACTTCAGTTCATCCTAGTGATTTTTTGTGTTAATATTTACTTTTAATTATAATTTGTTCAGTTATCATCAAGGTTTGATTTTCAGTGAATTTGTTAACAGATGCTAATTGAAGTGGCTTAGTAAACCAACTGCAAGATTTAAACTCTTCCAAAGATAGGACACTTAAAGGTGAATACAAAAACCTAGTTCAAACTTTCTCCATTAAGCCTTTATCAAACGGTTTTCAGAAAGAGGACATTTTCATTTTACCCCCATATTTCCATTGTCCTTTTTGTTGAAGATTTCCTAAAGAAAAAGTGAAAAATTCATGGGCCTGGTTATTCCACAGACAGATTTCATACTTATACTTGGAGTTAACATTTTTCTCTATCTACTTTTAAAATTGCCAGCTAAAAAAGTAAAACAACAAATGAAGGGTCAGTTAGGAAACAGAGGAACAGATTTCAATTTTGAATTCAAATTTGGTTAAGCAGAGAACGTATAGGGGAAAAAAAAATTGCAATTGGATTTAATACACATGAAAGATTGAATTTAGATAAACCTTAAGGTTTTCTATTTAAAAAAAATTACAGGATCTGTTAATACTTTACATCTTTGATGGGCTTGTTTTTACCATAAAGTTTGTTACCACATACCGAAAAGAAAAGTATTTTAAGATAAATTGTTTTACCAGAATTCTGAAGGAAAAAAAAAAACACCCCTTAGAATTCTTTGTGGCCACATAACATCTGAATAGTCAAAAGTTTACACTGTAAATAAAAGGAGGAACAATATGTGGATTCTAGTAGCTTTAATGAAGGCAATATTTTGGATGCCACAGCAAAGATAAAGAGCATTTCAGAAGAGGAAAGGCAAGGTTTTGAGATTTTCAAGATGAGTTTCATATTTTTAAAACACTTAACTGATTTTGTCAATGTCCACATGTAGTTATAGTTTTACTATAGGTTCTGACATTTTTCATCAGACTTATGAATGATATCATAATCAGGGGATATAAGTTGAATTATCTTCTCAGCCTAGGTACAAAACTAAGTGACTTGGGCATTTTGTTACTGGGTGTAAGAATTGTCATCAATCTCTGATCTTGCTTTGACACCTGATTTGAGCTCAATGCATATGCCCTTAGTCATAAGAATATCTTGGCACTGAGTCAGAAACAGAAGTAGAAGCAGGGATGTCAGCAACAGTGAAAGCAATAAGTTCTGCAGGAAGAACAGAACTTCTTTCCATCTCTCCACACAATCAGGTGATATCTTTCTTTCAACATCTTTTTTTTCAGAGCTAACTTTGACATGCCCAGGTTTAGGGAAGTTATGCTCTCGTTTCAAAGCTACCAAAAATGATTATGCAGTGTTTCATCATTCAAAAAGACTCTAAACCTACAGGTTCTTAACAAAATGTATCAGAAATACAACAGCTCTGTCTTCACATATAACACATTGTAATATGGGTAATAGAATACCTTTCATTTTCAAGAGAACAATCTCCCACTTATTGTAATTGACTCAAAATAAAGTATTCATGTTTGTTTTTATCTAAGTCAATGGCATATTCTTCTTGATACAATTTGTTTGGTTTTGATACAGTTTAATACATTGCAAACTCATCAATCCATTGTACTTCTTATTGGTAAGTAGATAGACTAAATATACTAAAGAACCTTTTTTTTTTTTTTTTGAGACGGAGTCTGACTCTGTCCCCCAGGCTGGAGTGCAGTGGCGCAATCTCGGCTCACTGCAAGCTCCGCCTCCTGGGTTCACACCATTCTCCTCAGCCTCCCAAGTAGCTGGGACTACAGGCACCGGCCACCACGCCCGGCTAATTTTTTGTATTTTTAGTAGAGACGGGATTTCACCGTGTTAGCCAGGATGGTCTCGATCTCCTGAGCTCGTGATCCTCCCGCCTCGGCCTCCCAAAGTGCTGAGATTACAGGCGTTGAGCCACCACACTTGGCCAAGAAACATTTAATTAGGCATGCTGAGCCTTTCTGTTACTGGGTGGTGAAGAAGAAAGGCTTCTTTTTACTAACATTCATTGGGTTTTAAAGTTTAATGGTACTGTAGGAGTTGGTTTGGGTCGAACTGTAAATTTATTATGATGCCTTTGGGCTGTATATCTTTGAAATCCACCACAAGAATTATTTTCTATTAGAATTTTTTAATGTAAAAAATCATCTGTGTGAGTGCAATAGAAAAAAATACAATTTCTCAAGAATTTGTATTATCAGGAGTAAAAATTACCAAAATAAAAGAAGATGGCCATAGCATGTTGCCTCTTCACAACTACTAACCCCTGGTATACACTTGATTTCTCCATATAAAAATTATGTCTCTTCAATTCAGATTCCCTATAAGCAAACTAAAGATGGTAATATTTGTTTATTATTATTACTACTATTATCAAACATTTTAATTTAAGGATGATGTTTTAAAAGTAAAATGGGATGTTGGATGTCTTAAACTGGATCTTACTTCTCTTATATTTCACCTTTAAGATCTCACTTTTCCTACAGACCTAGATAAATTTAAAAGGTCTTGTCTAATTAATGAAGTTATTAAATTGTTTTTACCTGTAAAATTTATTCTATAAATAGAAAAATGGAAAAATAAGTACTTGCTTTTTATTAGACTTATGTTGCATACTTATATGAAGAAATTAGTTCCTATACTCTGAAGACTTCTGAAGACTTAAAATAAATCACAATCTCACTGAGATGTATTCCCTATGATTTAAATAACAAAATGAAACAAATTGGAAGATAAAATAACTTATAAATTCAGAAATATTAATTACAGTGTTACTTTTTACATGTGAATATTCCGAAAGTGAAGACTCAAAATTTCATCCAGCTTCTCTTGGATGGTGGCTAGACAGAAGCAAGAAAAATAAATGCATAAAACAGAAATTGTTATACATGTAATAAAAAATGTGTAATTTACATATAAGTAAAATTCAGCATATATAAACTATATACATGTATATACAATGTATATACATATATAATAGTACTATATACACACACACACACACACACACACACAATGGCCCAATTATACATGTGTTATTGCTCCTATTACTTTTAAAAGGCCTATAGTATATTAAACAGAACATAGTATATTGAAGTGAATACGGTGATTTTAGTGATACTTATTTGTGTTCTGTTCACCTGAATATTCAGTGGAAAATTTTGAGCTAAGTGTAAGTTATAAATGTCTAAGTTCAAATGAAACTAGCTCAAATCACTTAAGATGGAGTGTCCATTGATTACCACTTCCTCTCACATTATCTTGACTTGTTATAGTCGTATTTCTCAAATTTTGTGTAGCATTTCATTAATGCTCCCTTTGTCATAGCCATTTCACAAAAGCGTAACATTTATTGTCCTAGACAACATAATTGCAAAAGGACAGGACTGTACGAATGATGAATTTACACTGAGTGAATCAAAATAATGTGTTGCGATGGTTAAAGTTCTTTTGTTCTATAATTGCATTATAAATTTTCATAATCCTAAACATATTCTTTTCAAATATCAAGGGTTTAAAGTAATAGTGCCAGGTTTCAAAAGAAATCTTCAAGCTCAGTCATTAAATTTTCCTTTCGATTCCCTCTCTCTAAAGTTTATTAAAATTATAGTGTTCATCATCCTTATATTTAAGTATTTGCAATTACATAAAATAATATAGCATTCTAAATAAAAATATAAAAACATCTACATAAATAATACCACATATGATGTATAACATGATGTTAAAACTTATTGAATTAAACTAATAGTTCATTTCCAATTATTTCTCACTAATCATCTTATAGTTTGAGATATTACAATATTTTTATTATTTCTAAATATTATTACTATACTTGGTAATAAAAATAGCAATGAATAATAGCAAGTAACTGCCAGAACTGGGTCTGCTTTAGTCAAGTTAGTCCTCACAATGAAGTGAATTAGTAATCTAACTTTTTCTTAAAAATAAATATTTTACTACAGCAAAAACATAAAACATATTATAATCATAGTACCTACATGAATATCCATCGTGTTTAATGAAATCAGATCTAGTATTATAAACTGAAGCTAACTTAGGTAATTTGAATGCACAGCAAAAATAAATGTCCTAACCAGGGGGTGGAAAATTCCATAAAAGCAAAAAACTATTCCCTTAAATACAAAATTCCATTCTCATATAAATTTATTTTTGCTAAATAAATAAATTTATTTCTCATTCAAGGGTGAAAGTACCACCTATATTTAAGACCAAACAGTCTTTCTGTATTTAATAAGTGAAATATAAACATTATAATTATCAAGTTATATTGTGATTTGATATTGTTTATGGGCACTCATTTTTCAAACGTTGAAAGCACCAGGGTCTTTTGAGATTGTACTTTAGCCTGATTTGTATAAAATGCTGTGTTATGAATATGTGCGTGGTCATTAAGGAAATGAGGACTACTATCTGAAGCATCTAGCTTTGCACTTTTAAGTTTTTACTATGCATATGCTTTCTATTATTCCCCAAACCATTTGATTAGGAGGAATGGAAGTATGATAAATTGCTAGTTCAGAGAGACTCTGTAATTTGGGTTTTAAAACACTTAAAGTGTAATATTGGTTTTATGTACCTTAAAAAAAAGAGACAGATGATTAGAAAGAATAAAGGAGGTGGGATAACCAGAAGAAAGGTGATTTGTGGGAAAGTAAAAAAAGAAAACAAGAAAGAAAAGAAGAAGATAAAACAAAAAAGAAGAATGACACTTATCTAATAATTGGCCTGACTCTTCTGCATAAGAGCTTCATTTCAATATTACACAGACAGATAAAGTGAATGATGTTCATGGGCTTTTTCCTTTTAAAATAATTCCAAATTATATTCAAATAATTGAGCATAAAAGTTATAGATACATGTCAAGAGCCCCAAAACTGCAATTTTATATGTATATACTTGTCTTTTTTATTTTTATGCATACCTATGCTGATATTTCTATATAATTAATTAAGAGGAATATAAATATATTCTTGTAGACATTCATGGGGCTTTTCATTTTGTTACTACAATGCCTTCGTGCTATTGTAGTCACACACCTTCAGAAGCTGCTAGACTCATTCTCTTTTTGTGGAAAAAATTGTGATGTAAGGCTTCAGTGACTTGTGATGAATTACATTCAACACCTAATGATAATTCCTGCTATGGGCACTTTGAGGAAACCCTAGCAGAGAGCACTGACCTCGCTGCACAGTTCTGCGGGTCCTGGGTCTGTGGATCTCTGGAACTCTGCTGCCCTCTAATGGCCTACTTAGATAAGTGCCTGCCTCATAGGTCTGTTTTCTTAAGTTTCCTCCACCAATTTGATACCGGCACCATAAAAATCCAATATTCTTTGGTTTCGCTCACATATAAATGGATCTAAACTTGGTTTGTTGTCAGGTTAATTTTTCAACATAATTTTAATGTCATATGACGAAAAACTCATTCAGCATCCTCTGACTTAGTTCAAGCGTTATTGGGGCCAGTTGCTGTAAGTGGTTGGAAAATGGTAACCAAATATAAGTGACAGCTTTCACAGGATTCTGGCCATCTAAATTGGCTCCACGGCCTTTGATATTTATTGGGTTGTGTGGGTGTGTGTGGAAGCGTGTGGGTGTGTGAGGGTGTGCATGTAATTGGACTACATATTTTAAAAACAATAGCAATTTTACTTTCCAATTTCTTTATCTCATTTATTATCTTAAGATGTATGGATCCTAGATTATCTTCTCCTAATTAATCCTGTACTTCTTAGCGATCTAGTTACTTTATTTTCTCCCCCTTGCATCTTGCCTGGGAAACAGTGCATCACTGGTTACTAAGACTGAAATTCATAATTCAAGGAAAAAAAAGTAAACCGTAAGTCACATTTTAAGTCTCAATTGTATCCTGGTTTGGACTAGAGATGGTGGGATATAAGATTTATCAACATCACAGTGCATCAAACCCGTTAATAAATTACTTTCTGTGTAACAAGTAAAAGAAATCATTTCTAAAATGGAAGCACGAAAGGCATGGCATAGCTGGAGTTTAAGGTTCAAGCTTTGTATCCTCTATATATAATGTATTATGTTTTTCAAAAACTTTTTATTAGGAAAGCTATACCAGAGGCATAATCACTATACAATGATTAAACATTACCTTTACAATTTATAATCACTGAAATTACAGAATAAATATATGCACATTTCTTTTGAATCTTTGTGTGTGAGAGAGAAAACATTAAAAGTGCTTCCTACAAAGCTGTTAGTGATATATACCCAGTTGCTTTTTTTAATATTATATATATATATAAGAAAGTGCAGATGTTCTCCAAAAAATCTTGGCATCAGGATGAAGTGTCACAAAGAGGGTGCTCATCCCTAGGCGTGTGTCTTCGGCTGTTAAACCACCAGGCCTCTACTTCAGTAGAATCCAGCCTAGAATGTGACTTTTCCCAGGGTGGTAGGAGAGATGCTGTGAGCTGTACACTAGCAGTGAAGGGTGGTAGAACTATGGAGAGGAGAAAAATGGATCAAACCCGAACTAAGCAGATTGAGTTGAATGGAAATGGTATGGAGTGTGTGTGTGTGTGTGTGTGTGTGTGTGTGTGTGTGTGTGTACCTGCACCAGCAGGAAGAAACTGCAGGTTTAGGGACCATGGTCTGCAGATGGATATGTGTATGAGAGACAAGATAGTGAGTGAGAACATTCGAGCAAGACCCGCCCCCTCCCTCCCCATCTTGCAGTTTCCAGGCATGCAGCAAACTGCATTGTTAATACATGTACAGAATCTGTGCCATGATGATAAGAAAGAAAGCCACAAATGACAAATGTCAACTTGTTTCCCCCCCTTTAAATCAAAACTACAACTATAAAAAAAATAGTTACTGAAAATAAAAAGACACATTGAATTTTACTTAATTAGGATCCATACAATGATCCCCAGTATATCTTATACATGGCACAGTCAAAGTCTCAAGTTTCAGTATAAAAAAATAATGATAACATTTGCTGGCAAAAGTCTGCGAAGGCACTTTCATTGATTAATGATCTGAGTATGGCCCTTCCTCCAAATCGCATCTGAGAGGGGAGAGCATACATCTGTATTCTCTAGTTATCATGCGGTTTTAGTTTTGTTCAGGGTAGGAAAGATCGTGAGGATGGAGTTACTGGGACAAGTGTAAAGGGAGCAAGGGATATATTTCTTTTATTTTCCTTTTCTTTTGAAAAAAAAAAAGCACTAATATATTTTCTTCTCTCTGTTAGAACCTGTATGTTGTCTTCTCCAGGACTTCGAGGTAATCCGGCTTGGTTTGAAGTTTGGCCCTTAACTCGAGGTAATCACTTTTTTGGGTTTGGTGGTCTGTGAAGCCCTTTCCAGCCGAGAAGAGAAGGGTTTCTTTGAGCCTGGCATCCTGCTGTAAGTCTGGGTATTGCATGCCAGGAGGGTGCACGTGCAGTTCCTTTAATTTGGGCACTGTTCCATAGAGACAGTCCACAAATCCCACTGTGCAGGGGGCAGGCTGTGGCCTCTCTCGATCTAGTAGCATACTGCCACTACCACAGCCTCCCCCAGGAGGAAACAGCACCACCCCACCATTTTTCTCATGGTGGCGGAACCCTGCCAAGTCTCCCCCAGTTCCCCCAACTACTCCTGAAACCCCACCAACTGCTGGGTGGTGAGGGTGATGGTGATTCACCGTCACTATGGTGTTAAGCTGGGAGCTGGACACTGCTAGGGCCCACTCCTTCTCTTTTTCCAGCAAGGTCCGGTAGTTACTATGGTTCTCCTTGGGTGTCTCAGCAAACTGCTCACTTCCTAGGAGAGCCTCACCCATTCCCGGTGGTTGTGTCCCTGGACCCCCACGTTCTGCACTCCCTGCTTCTTGGGCTGATGAAACAGCCACCTCCTCCTCCTCACGAGGCTTGTAGATGGGGTTGTTGCACATTTGGGTAACCGGGTGGGGGATGTACTCATACACATGACCCACGGGAGGGGCCTTCTCTGGAGAGGAAAGAGTTGGTCGACCACCACCCCCACTTCCGCCACCACCACCTCCACCATCCTCAAACAGCCTGTGGCATTGCATTTGGATGCCAGTAAGGTCCACACCTTCCTGCCGCTTGCTTCTGAAGGGCAGCTTCTTTCGACGCCTTCGGAGCACGTAGGCAAAGAGGCCTGCAGCAACAAAGACTGCTGAGAAAAACAGAACCAGCAGGCTGAGAATTAACACAGAAAGTGGCACAGGGCCCCCAGGAGGAGAAAACTCATAAGGTGATGCACTGGTTGGTGCCCCAATAAGGTGAGAATCTCCAGGCTGGGCTGGGGATTCTCCAGCTGGTGCAACGTGCAGCATCTCTGGGCAAAGAACTTCCAGCTCAATAGTGCGCACATCACGGTGCGTGAGGTTCTCAGGGCTCCTGCAAAGCACATCACCAACCACACTGACTGAGCTGATGGTTTCGATCCACTGTTTAAAGGGGACCAGGTCACAGGTGCAGTCCCAAGGATTCTCATTGAGGTCTATCTGGACAATGGCATTCAAGTGTTCCAGGACACCAGCCACGGGAAGATAGAGGAAGTAGTTCTTCCTCAGGTTGAGCCGGGCCAGGGATGTGCCAGCAAAGGCGTCTGTTGGCAGAGTCCTCAGTAAGTTATTATTGAGGAATAGCAGCTTCAAGTTGGGCATGAGGCTGAAGGCTGCAGGCTGGATTTCCCGGATGACATTGAACTCAAAGTACAAGTAGTGCAAACTCTGTAGGCCTCGGAACATGCCTGGTGTCAGCTTCTCTATATCGTTGCCATTAAGGAAGAGGCTCTTTAAGTTGGGCAAGTTGATAAAGGCCCCATCTTGGACATAGGAAATACGATTGTTCCCCAGATGCAAGAGATCCAAGGAAGAAAAATTCCAAAAATCAGAACGGTATATTTTCTGAATCAGATTGCTACTCAGATACAGTTTCTTGGCATTCAAGGGCCTTGGAAGAAGTTCAGAAATGTTATTAAATCCTCGCTCTTTGCAGTTGACAGTCAAGCCAAGGTCATTGATGTGCAAATTACAGGTACACCCAGTGGGGCATATAATGGGGATTGGTGGTCTGGTCTGATAAGGAGCAATGGGAGGCTGGTTTGGACCAGGATATAAAGCTTGGGAGGTGGAGGGTGGCCTTGGTGTTCGAGGCTGTTTGGTGGGCTTAGGCTGTTTATTTGAGGACTTGTATTCGACAGAAGAAGCAGTAAAATGAACAGAGGATAGCATTGAGGAAGGCTTAGTTGGCCATGCATTCTCCTTACTTGATGACGAATGTGGAATTCCCAAACTAGCCTCTACCTCAGAGTCAGACAACAAGGGACAGAGTTCTGTCTTCCTGATTTCTCGTAGGTCCTTTCCATGGAAGTGGAAAGGGGTCTCACAGGTAATGTCTCCCACCAGGGCAGTATAAGGAATGCGTTCCAGCCAACTCTTCAGTTGTACAATTTCACATGTACAGTTCCAAGGGTTTTCTTCCAGCTGGAGCTCCATCAGGCTTCTGCCAATGTGATCTAGCATTCCTCGGTAAAAAAGAACCTTTAACCTATTTCCACGTAGGTCCAAATGGGTTAAAGAGACAGCCTTAAATAAATTGGTTGGAAGCATGGGGATGAGATTATCATTTAAAATCAGAACCCTCAATTTACTTAGGTTCCGAAATGCCCCACTCTCAATACGTTTAATGACATTGTAATCTGCCTGCAGATATTCTAGACTTTCCAAGCCAAGGAAGGTGTCATTTCTGAAGACATCTAGTTTGTTTTCATGTAGATATAGTCTCTTTAAAATCTTAAGACCATTGAAAGCTCCAGTCTGAATGTCCTGCAATGCATTGTTCCCAAGATTAATAGACACAGCATTATTCAAATGAAGAAAACTGTTGGTATATAATTTCCTCATAGAATTCCTCTGCAGATACAGTTTAAAAGGTCTTGACCAGAACTCGGTAATCTGACTAATATTTGTAAATCCTTTACTGTCACAATGTATATGAAAGAGGCTTTCTTTAACTTCACAGTAGCATGGATCAAAACAGGGCTCATCTATTTCCTCTGAGTCCTCTATTAGGGGAATCGGGGTAGTCCATCCTAGAGCAATTGTGCTTAGAAGAATTATCCACAACATCCTTCCTCTGTGAAGCATCTCAGCTATGGAAGGTTTCATCGTTCGTGGTTGATTACAAAACTGCAACAGAAATAAAAATGCAGATTTTTAGCTTTTAGTCATATGTACTATTTTAATTGACTCCTACATGTGGGGCATTTTAAGAGCTATATAAAAACTTCAGCAATTGTTGAAGTGACACTCAAGATGAGCTAGCAACATACTTAATGTTTAGAGTGTGTCCTATATTTTAAACTTAGGAGACTCTGAAATATTGAACCATGCAGTGACATTTTCCTGAACCAAGCCATACTTGGTAAACGGCATATTGCATGAACAAAAGCAGCCTGCATTGCCTCTGTATAACAAACAACAGAACTGGTATATCGTACTTCCTTTTAGGCATAGGCAGATTCAGTAATAATGGCAATAATGTGGCCATCACACCTGTTTGCCTGTTAAAACTCATGTTGACATCAAAGATACTCATAATAAATCTGATTGGAACTCTGATGGGAAAAATATGTTCTTTGAGTTATAGGTTTTGATGATTAAAAAGACATGATATACTCCAAAATTATTATATTGATTAGTGTGATAAAGTATGAGCCTATTGCTCAATATCAGATGTTGAGATGTGTAAAATGATCAGCATCTCAGGAAAACTTAAGATTTATTTTTATGAAATGATCATAACATGCTTTATTACAGTGTATAGTCAGTATGTACACTATATGTCCACATCTTCTTGCCCAATAATACATTATTGTCATCTTCTTTAATTTAATAAATAATTTGTATATATTTGTATCATTTGACTATTTAAAACATGTAGGAGTGATTAGCCCTTCTAAAAAACATGCCCGTGCAATTGTCAGAGCTAAAGATAGGGACAGCTAGAGGATGCTGAGTCTGAAAGTGTCTGAATTAAAACATTTGCAAAACTTAGTTTGGAATGTGTATCTGCGCCTTCAAGATCAACTGAGGAACCCTGTAAAAAGCTGGAAGAGCAGGTGGCTGGTTAGAGGGGAGGTGGGTAGTTAAAGTCAAGAGAGAGTGGAAACCTCTATTCTTACCTGCTGATAAATGATCTATCACACGAAATAAATTTCAAAAAAGATATCATTCTTTTCCAATCAGAAGAAACAAATGCAGTGCACTATTCTGATAACAGTCTTTCTCTATGCATCGTTTTCCTTGCCTAATAACATCAGTATATGAAAATGTTTACATAAATGATAATAATGCAGTTTTATTACACTGTCCTTCCTGAGTCACTAAAATATCAATCAAAATTTAATAGCTGATTTTAATCAACAAAAATAAACCAAAGTTTCTAGCATATATTTTCCTCATAGAGAGCACACAGAAAGATATATTTCATCAACCTTCTTCTTAAACCACAATGATATAATTTATAGGAAAAGTGAAAGAAATAAATCTTCACATTACACTCGCCTATAATGTTCACAGCTGTAAAGAAAGGAGATACCGTGAGAAAGCAAAGAGAAATCTGCCTCAGACATGCAATACTCAAAAATTAAAAACAATTCAGTGAAAAAGAGGGAGAGAGAAAAGGCTACATTGCAGTATCAATTAGTCTTCCATCTCCCTTATGAAATATTAAAATCTACTTAAGTTCTTTCTTCACCATCTTAAATATTTTTCTTGTTTTTCAGGTCCCTATGGTTTAGGCAAAAAAGGCTACAGATGTGTTGGACTTACCTATTTTGCCAGAGTTTTTTTGGGTTTCGGGTTTTTTTGTAATTTATTTATTTATTTATTAGCATGGAACCGTGAAAAGAAAAAGAAAAAAAAAAAGCTTGAGTTTAAGGATTCTCTCTCTTTCCCTCCCCCTCCCTTTGCTTTGCTGAAGCTGAAGCAAAAGGGGATAAAGGGGGTTGGGCGGGGGGACTAAGAGAAAAAAAAAAAAAGCAGCAAGCTTGAGACGTGCTGGGAATGCAATGGGCTCTTCAATGGGCTTCTTTAGGATGCAGAACTGCCGCTTGGCACACTCAGTAGAGGAGGGAGGAGAAGGGGCTGCAGCAGGCTTCCAGCTCTGCTGCCCCTGCCGCTGCCGCCGCGGTGGCTGCTCTCTTTGGGTACCCACAGCACATCACTGGGCACTGGGAGGAAGCACAGGAGGGAGGCAGGGAGGAAGGAAGGCTCAATCACAGTGCAGAATCTCAGACTTCTCTCGCTCCGGCTTTAAAAATATATATGTGCTATAACCCTGAACCCAGCATTCCACGTCATGAAAATGAGCTCCAAAGGGAACGCGCTTAGCATGGGTTCGGGAGCGAGCACTAGGAACCCCTGACTATACAGTTGAGTGAGTGTGTGTGTGTGTGTGTGTGTGTGTGTGTGTGTAGGGAAAAGAAGTAGAGGGGTAGAGAACACAAATTGGCAAAATAAGAAACCAGAGAGAAGGGGGAGGAGACCAACCTATGGGAAACATTTCTTTGGTGAGGAAGGTGGAGATGGGGGAGGGGGGCAGGGATAGGCATTTTCTTTCTTTCTTTCTTTCTTTCTTTCTTTCTTTTTTTTTAAACTCTCAAGGAAACCATCCCCTGAATGATTTGCTCCTTTAGTTTCCAAAGCTCATCTCTCTAGTGCAGGTGGTTTGAAAAGTGAGACTATCCTTCGTAAGTATCATTTTCACAGGACAGCCATTCCCTGCAATGACGGGGATGGGGGGAAATCCAGGTCCCCAAAGCAGAAAAGCTGAATCTGTCTGATTCTGCCTGGGTGTCCCGAATAAGAGCTCAGACAGCCTGAAAGACTTGGACCGAGTTTCTCCTGCATTTTGCTTCGATCCCGTTGCACCAGGAATTCTTTTGTTGTGCTGCAGGTCAAAGCCTTCGATAGCCCCTGGATTCAACAGCATTTCTTTTCTTCCACTTTTTAAAAACAGAGACAAGCCAATTCTCTGGAAGGAGATACAGACCACTTGGGTAACAATGGTACATTTCACATTGCGCCACCGGGAAAGACCTCGCGGGATTGGGGTGGATTTAAGGATTTGGATGCTTTTGTCCGTTCTTTCTCTTTCTTATTTTTTAAACTCAAATATTTCTCCGTGAAATTTTCGGGGAGTGAATCCTAGGGAGTAGTGGGAGTGGGGGTGGAGGTGATTGAAGGAAGATATTGTATTGTAGAGGGACTACCAGATGACAGTTCAGGAACGCTTTCAGAGGAATTTTTTTAAGGCTCAGCTGACAGCACTACAGTCCTGCCTGCTGGGAAGGAATGCAGCTTGGTGGGGAAACTGGGGAGAGCCAAGTGTGCAGCAAAGGAGTCTAATCAACAGGACCCGTGTGCTGTGGATGCTCCCCATCTGCCCCCACCAGCACACACCAATCCTGTCACCAACTCCTCGCCGGGAGGGGAGAAGGCAGGGACTTTTTGGTTGCTAAAGAACTAAACTGAACCTCAATTGCCCAAGGACTCAAAGTTAGTAGGTAGAGATGGTTTTCCCTTAATGGACCCTTTACAAAAGCAAATTTTAAAGCAAAGCACAGCTTACATGTCAATTTCTTACTGCTCTAAAACAGGTAAATCACCTAACAATGTGTTCCTTAAAAGTCAGTCAAAGGCAATTTCCATGATATTTTGCATTTAAAATGACCGCACAGGAGTCCACTGGCAGACAGTAGCTAATTTTAGAAACATGCCACCATACACTAAGTAAGCAGGAGGGCAGAATTTTCTAACATTCTACCCTTAATATTCCAGACTCACCCTATTGCTCCCATAGGTCTTAGCCAAGAAGTAAACCAATACCGATAGCCTAAGCTCAGAATCAGAGCAATTCCCTCTCCCTCCCCAGCTGCCGGCACCCGCACCCTCCCCCCCATCCCCCGCCCAGCACTTTGGGTACCCAATGTGCAGAGGCGGTGACTATTTATCGGGTGTTATCGGAACCCATGATGTGATGGAATCGATGGGTAACCCGGAGGCTGCCCTGAGCTTCCAGATGACGGTAAATGTTGTCTCGGCAATGAAGTCTCTGTTATTTCTTGAACTAAAACCCCTTACGTTCTGGACCTGGGCTGTGTCCTAAAGGCTATCTCACCTTTTTCCTTTTCTTTAGCTCAGGATAGCGCGTCTAAAGGACAGGGAGGGCTCCAAAAGTTAGGGAATATTGAGCCATGGGGCCCCAGTTTTTTCCGTGTCCTGCTGGGAGCGCCCAGAGCCATTTGTTTGTCCAGAGGGAGGACAAGAAGCCCTTTCTCCCTGCTGTGCCCCCTTCCCACTTCCTCCTCCCCACTGCTGGATCTTACAGCTCACTAATTTTTTCAGATCTAAGATTAAGTATTCCAATATGGAAGCAAAACTATCTTCCCTAGAACAAATAATTAAAACGCTGCATCATTCATTTTCTGAAGAGCTTTGAGCCGTCTATAGAGCCTTTTCTAATCTGCTGTCGTCAGGCGAAACGCACAATGGTCTGTTTAGAAACGGAAAATTATTAAAAGCTCAAGCCTTTTTCCTTCTACCTCTTACAACACCAGCGAGCATTCCACTGGGGGAGGGGTCCTTCGCTCCGCCACCTGGCCTATTTGTTGGAGTTACTTACGATGTCTTCACCCAGAAAAGAGGTCCGAGGGTATGTTAGTCTCCGGTACCCCTCCTTCCACCAACGTCCTTACACCTAACTGATCCAATTCAAAACTGCAACAAACCCCTAGCACCTGTGAGCGTACAGAATACACCGCGGCCAAACTCGATGTGCTCTACAATGCACATCCTACATACGAGAAATACTGGTTTCAATTAGGCGAAGTAGGAAAGGATGGCGGCGAGTACCTATGGTGCAGAGCGCTCAGGATCTCCGAGGTTTGCTGCGAGGGGCTACCCAGCAGGAGGGGCAAACTCTCTGCGAAGCTGAATTGTATCCATCATACTGTAGCCTTGTAGCTTCTCCTCTTCTGGCCACCAACTTTCCGAAAGGCTACCGAATCACGCTTGTAATCCGTTTAAATGTTTCCACCTTTGAGACTTGCAGGGAAATGGTCGCTGCATACCAATGGGAGAGCGGGGCGCGCACCTAGCGCGGCGATGCCAGCGACAGGGAGCTCACGACCACAGCTCCCTATGCCCTCGATGGTTGGTAGGCAGGCAGGCAGAGTGAGTGTCCCAGGACTAGGTTCCTTTGATTTAAAATCTCGGTGCTCTGGATCAGTGGAGAGCTTCGTTGTTCCCGAGAGCCTGAGCTCAGTCTCTGGATTTCTCTCTTTCTCTCTTCCTCAAAGGTTGTCACTCACAGCGCAATCCCTGCCCGAGGCCTCCTTCCATCCGAGAAGATGGAATTAGCCCTTGCTTTTCCAGGGTGTCTTTGCTCTTTGCCCTTTAGGTGGGTGGGAGTGGGGGTTGGTGGCGTGTAGATGAGAGAAGAAAAGGGTGGGGAGAGGCGGAAAGGAGGCAGGAAGGGGGCGACTAGATCTCAGATCCCAGCATTGGTCAGACGGCGAAGGTGGGGGGAAAGAAGGAGAGGGGGAGAGAAGATACAAATACACAGTATGGCTGTGCACACCAAATTCCACTTGGATTTGGGAGATCTCAGGCAAAGCACGAAGGTGAAGCGATACCGTTGGCAGAGAGTGAGTCCTCTGACCGCTCACCATTCAAGCACCCTCACTTCTCGAGCGGGAGAAGGTGCGGGGGAGGGGGGTGGGAGGGGGAGGGGACTGCTGAACGTTTCAGGCCAAGGAGACGCTCGCGGCGGCGGCGGCGGCGGCATCTTTTAAGACTGACCTGCTTTAAAAGTGCCACTTTAATGGCCTAGGAAATAACTAAAATCGGATTACACGTTACTTACCAACGTCTCCTCCTAAACTGGAGCGCCAGGTCGTGTATAAGGAGTCAATATAGGAAACGCAGGGCTGGAACCTGAATGCAAATCCATCAGCCGCCCCCAAATCGCGCACCAAGGGAGCGGCGCTCGGGAGCCCCCAGATCAGCCCATCGCCGGAGCTCCGCCAGCGCGTCCCCCCCGCACCCCCGGCCCCTCCTCCGCGCCAACTGTGTAAATCAGCCGCCGCAGTCCTCTCGCCGCGCATCGCAGGCAAAATCCCGGCTTAGGAAGCAAGGAAGCAAGTGATCTCTCTCTCTCTCTCTCTCTCTGTCTCTCTCTCTCTCTCTCTCTCTCTCTCTCCTCTCTCTGTCTCTCTCTCTCTCGCTCTCTCTCTCGCTCTCGCTCTCGCTCTCTCTCTCTCGCTTTCGCTGTCCGCCTTTCCCTCTCCCCCATTATCGGTCACAACCTGGCAGCTCTTCAAGAGACACCCTGTGAAATTGAGTGTCGGGAAGTCAGCATTCTGTACCCGTGGATTGATTTGTAACTTTTATTTGCAAATGAGAGAGATGCCTGTTTGGAAAATTACAGCCCAAAAGGTGGAGGGTGATCAAATTAAGAACATCTGAGCTGTATTGGTGGGCGGTATCGCTAAACGCCTCCGGGGAGCGGTTTCCAAGTGATTTGCAGTAATCCCCCACCTTCATGATACATGGGTGACGATTTGAAAGTACACATATTTCCTCATCTGTTTACATTTGCCGGGGGCGGGGGGCATAAAACTGTAGGGCACAGGGAGTTGGGAGGGGGGCATTTGCCTGAGAGATGCTGGATACCATTTCGCGATAAATTAGATACGGACACTGGAACAATTAATACGTGTAATAACACGTATGTGAAAGTATTATTACAACATTACAGAGGCGACCATTACCCCCACTGCAGTCATACTAATGCAGTCATTCGTTTAATGCTCCATTCAATCTGCAGTGTAAACCAACGCAATTCTTTTTAATAGATCCCTTTCATCAGAGACTGTGTTGGAAAGAGGGCAGTCTTCCACTAACTCCCAAAGTGAATAGAAGGTAGCCTGGGGAATCATCTCTGTATCTCTTGCCATTTCTTCCTGAAGAGAATGCAATACATTGTCCAAGGAAGGCAAAGTTATTTAGCTATTATAATTGTAGGTAGAATGATCTTGAACCTATTTTCAAAAGCATTCAAAGAACTCTAACTCACCCTTTGCAAAGAAACAGTACTCTCTTTTAATTTATGCATAAAATCCTTCGATAGACAGGCCTGGATATATGTTTTACATCTTTATTTAGTGAATTTTGTATATACTATAATTTATACCATCGTTAGTTCATATTATTGACATATAATACCACAAGTTAGTGTCCGTATTACCTACATTAAAAGATAGGAAAGGATGGAGTTGGTCACAGAGACAGCCAGGGGCCTGTGGAATTTTTTGGGATATATACATATACACACACTCTAAATTTAGTATGGCAACTGTGTTGGTTCTGCATAAAATGAATTTAGATTATATATATATACGTGTATACGTGTGTGTATATATCATACTTACAATGTTTTCATTTGTTCTTTAAAATACTCAGCATTCTTCAAGATTATTAAGATTAGTAAAATATCTACAGGGACCCAGAAAGTAATAAAAAGCACCATGTATTAAAATGGATTCTTTTTAAATATAGCATTTCAGACTCACTGGCATGAATTCCAAACCTCTTTCCAGTATTTTCTAGGATAATAAATTCTTCCATGTGAATTTTACATACAGGAAGACATAGATATACAAAGAAAATTTGTCATAGGTGTTTCACTCACTGGGTCGCCAAATTGGGCTTCAAAGTGGTATATCTAGGCAGGGTTGCCAAAGGAGTACATCCCCATAATGAATCAGTCAGATTTAGGAAAAACCAAACTGCATCAGTAGTTTGATGTGTCACAGAGATATTTTTGGCCTTTTCAGGTGGTTGCCCAATTTGAGGAGACTCACTCCTGGATACACCATATTTTATGTGGGCAAGTGTGAAATCACACACATGCCCTTTGAGCCTCAGGGCTGGAGGATATTAAAGTAACCCTGAAAGACATTGGGCAACATCACTCCTAAAGTTACTGAATCTCTTTAACTTTTTGGAACTATTTTCAAGGTCATTTTGATGAGAGAGTTCTGAATATATTAATTTGTTTACTCTGAGCAGATGTTAGTGTGGCCTGATGGTACTGGGGAGCTGCAGAAGATTGAATAGCTAGAATAGGTTGTTAGTGTTAAACATGAGTACTACCCATACAAATATTACAGGCCAGATAAAAATATTGTAGAGTAAGTGATTATGATGGATATTTGATTTTATGTTGTGACTTTTTAGTGCTTTGCATACAGACATTTACATGTCCCTAGTTTTATTTTAACCAAACATCATTTACATTGTGAAAAAGGAGAACTCTCATTTAAAAAAAGATGTTCTTTATTGATGATGCACAATGGATAAAAGGAAAACATAAAAGTAATATATAGGATGTAATTTTTAGTTCAACAAATATTAATTATGTCTACATTGCTGATTGGTTTTTAAATTATAAACATTACAATATTTCAAATAGTTTTAATGATTCTGTCATTTTTCAGAGAGGAACAATGATATTGAAATAACTAAGATAGACTTTATTTTTTGGTCTAGCATATATTTTGCTCATTCTGATGGTTTAAATAAAATAAATACATCTTTTAAAAGATTTACTACTAATTAAACTAGGGTTAGAGAACTGTTTGTTGTATAATGAAGTAGCCACTCAAGAAAGTTCCAAACTTGAAATGTAGCTGTGGTAATCTGTGATTATGTACAGCATGTAGCCATTTACGTATTGTGTTTGTCTGTTTTTAAGCATTGTAAAAACATTTGTGAAGCATTGTAAAAAATTTGTGAAAAAAAACATTTTTTTTTCTCTTTGTTCATTTCAAATGCTGTTTAGGTCAACAAATTGCATGTCTGATAACCATCAAAACCTAAGTGCATTGTCATTTGCTTAACTTTTGATATACCACTGTTGAAACAATTGAAAATATAGTTACACACAATTTTATAAATGGGAACATAGGCTATAAAAGTTAAGCAAATAAAAATGTGATAAAACATGAATTAATATTTTTAGTTTTGTTGTATGTTTATTTCTGTAGATCTTTCTGTATCTCCATAGGAGAAACACTTTTGAAACATTTTATATCGTAGAAAAAGTTCCACACCAATTGATAATTTTGTTTTTTTAATAGCATCTTATAAGTCTTAGTGAATCAGCATAGATTTAACAAGCTATAAGTATGAAGAAGTTATAAAATATTCAATTAAACATTGATCTTTTATATCTTGTTTCACTAAAACATTTTAAAGCACTTTATAGGCATCTTCCAAATGAACCTTCAGCTTCTTTTTGAAGTAAACAAGTGTTTTAATCTTAAAGGTTATGTGAGCTATTTTGAGACAATCAGATTTAAACTATTCAATATGAACAAATGTTTATTTATAGGCTGGATTAAGCACAAAGTTATTTGTCTACTTTTAAAGATATTTTTCAAAATTATTTTGAATTAATAAATTGTAGATGTTAAGATTAAAATTACTGAGAGGGGAAAAAGTTTTAAAAGACTAAGATGAAGAGAAATAAATCAAATGTAAGTTGAAGTAAATTGATTATTGAATAATGTATCAGGAAATAAATGTAGGTGTTATATGTAATGGAAAAAGGCAAATCAGATAAGCTTTAGTGGTAGAAACATATTTTTAAATATGATATTATGAGAGAAGGAAATAATAATTTTATAGAATCATAAAATCTCAAGACTAAGAGGGACTTGGAAGGTAATCTAATCTGACCAATTACGTGATATTAGAATCTACTTCACTGTCCCCTGGCAAGTTGTTATCAAGATTATGTATATACTTTTTTAAATAAACTTTTATTTTTAGTTCCAGGGTACATGTGCAGGGTGTGCAGGTTTGTTACATAGGTAATGGAGCTTAGTGCATTTCAGAGCAGGCCATTTTATTTTTGGACAAATCCAACTGATTGAAAAAACAGTTAAGCAAATTAAAACTTCTACTTTCCATCAATTGTTTTTTTTTTTTTTTTTACCCCTAGATGACTTGTTTAAAAGTCTAAGGTAATGAACTTCCTAGTTATTTAAGTATATATTTATGCAAAGAAACTCACCTGCCAGGTAGAAATGCAGAACTAGTTTTCAAGATATGAGTTTGAGCTAGAGAAGGAGTGATTTAACTTGAAAAAACAACTGAAGCCATGAAACTACAGAATTTGTTGTAAGCAATGAAGTGACAAAATGTTAGAAAGCATTGTAGTGCTTGAGAGTTACTTCTGAAACATCCACAATATTTTAATTAGTCTTCATGGATATCCCTTTGGGAGCACATTTGAAGTTCTGTATGTGTCCTTTTAATCTACTGACTTTAAACCAACTGCATCATAGAGGAACAGTACTGGTATCAGCTACACAAATTAGACAGCCTAAACCATATATGTACATGTTTACATGTAAAACCAAATTTCTCCTGGTTTTTGACTTTTTGAAAGCTATTTGAGAACATGAATATAAAGTGAATATTTTGAAATCAGACTGATTTCAATATAAAGAACCTGATAAAAAATGCTTTCAGCACTAAGTATGGGAATAGATAAAAGTCTTCAATATGATCACGTGCTGGAATTCACAAATAATGGAAATCTTATGTACAGTCTTGCATCTTAAGTATATAACAAGAGTGTAGTGAAACACCGAATTTATTTCTTAATGTCAGTAATTCACAAAGTAGCTTAGTTCAATTAAAAAAAAAAACCCAAAAAACAAAAACTGAAGTTTCTTTGAATTTGGCTCCTTCCCTTATATTGCTGCTGAGGCTTAGGCATCTATAGCTGCTTTTAGCTACTATATTCTATCTAAGTCTCCCTTCACATTTCTATGTTGCTAAACAACAAATGTTTAGTGATTTCCATATCTGTAACTCTGCCTTTTTAGTACTGAAATTGATTTTTTCATATTTGGGCATCTAAAGATAAATATTATTCCATATGCATGTCATTTTTTCTTCATCGTTTGACAAAATACTTTCACAGATGAGTGGTCTGAATTTGGCACTTCAGTTGGCATGGTTTTAAAAAAATTGATAAGTAGGAAAATGTTTATTAGAAATGTTATTATTTTGCACATATTTTGAATAATATTAACAAGAAAAAAATAATAAACATATGTGTCATGGTGAAGGTATCATTCACTAGTTTTTTAATGATGGTAAAGCTATCAAATAATGTAGAACCCATGATGCTACAAATTTACCTCCCCCTCCCGAAAAATCTTAAAGTACCTTCTAAAAAGATTTGCCAAAAACATAAATAGAAGATAAATATTTAACACTTGTATATTTAAGTAGGTATTTCATGTTGTGCCCTTAATAATTTCAAAGGAGAATCTGACCTAAAAGTAATTTTCTTACTTTTTGTTTCTGTTGGATATTTTTATTCAAAGGGTAGTGATGAAATGTTTGATGTGGTTAAGAAAGTGAAAAAGCAACTGCTGATACCTCCCACTTTCACCTTAAAATATATTATGGTTTATTTTGTAATATTTCATTTGAAGGGCCATGAAAAATAGCCAAAATATGCCTACACATATACAAGTGATACATAGGCATGTGTGTTTCTGTATGCGTGTGTGTTAGAAGGATACAACGTTGGAAATTAATGGACTTCTTATAAATTATTTGTTTGAGTTATTTTATTTCTAAAATGTAGAGTAGTTTCAAAGATTCTGTAGTATAAAACAAACAGAATAGCTATCAATAAAATATTAAAAATGAATTATATGTCTTAAATACACTGTATTGATATTGAATGATAATATTTACTAAGTTAGAAACTTTTGGAACACTTGTGTCACAAAAGATCAGATAATCTTTAGAAACTGGCCTTTTTCTGTGGGTTTAAACCAATGCCCTGGAAAAATAACTCTGTTGAATGATACAATAGGCTGACATTAACTCCCCATGTGCAAGTGTTCTCTAGCATTTACTAAAAGGTAACATGTTTTAAAAACTCTACTACCTTTTAACTGTAATGCCAAAATAAACAGGAATCCAGAATATTCAAGTGCTGAACAGTTTCGACATTCCTTAAACCTTTGAGCAAGTACTAATTCATGCAGGGACCTTTCATATACAACTCAGCTTGATAGGATGAATCAACCAAAACGCAACACCTGTTACTCAGTAAGCTGGACTGGCTTCTTTCTACCATGTGGACAGTATAGTGTTCACTTTACAAGGAATTGAGATCCATCCAACTAGTTTAAGAAAAGGGTTGTTGGTGGGATTTTGTTTGTTTGTTTATTTAAAAGATTTACGGTCTTCATCTCATAGAAATCAAGAACTGAAACTAGTACAGCCAAACTTCATGGGAAACATAATTGGATATTAGATCTTTTTTCTGTCTCTTTTGGGGTCTGCATGGTTGCCTCCCTGACACTTTCCTTAATTTCTTTCCGTTCTTTACAGAAGGCAGAGTGATTCCTAAAAATTCAAGTATGATGCAATTTTCGGTAACCCTCTACTGGTTTCCTATCTCTCTACGTAAAAGCCAAAGTCCTTACACAGGTTATAAGCCCTATATGATCTTTCACTCAGCCTGTATCTGACCTATGCCCTATCATTTACTCTTTTGCTCCCACTGTGCCAGCCACATTTTCCATCTTGCTTTTCCTTCGACTTAAGAAGAGCACACATATCTCAGGACACTTGAAGCTGCTATGCACTCTGCCCAGAACATCCTTCCACAAATATTAGCTGGCACCTTCACTATATTTAGGTTTCTGTTCAAATGACATACAGTCATGTAGGCATTCTTGACCATGCTATCCCAAGTAGTAATTCCCTCATTACTCCTGAACTGCATAACTTGTTTATTCCTACAGTTTCTCTACCTGATAATATATAATTTATTTACTTTTGGGTTTTACTGTCTACCACCTCCTACAACAATAAGTTTCATCAGAACAGGGACTTTAATTCATTGTGGTACCATTGCCACCCAAAGCAGTGCCCAGTACATAATAGGAATTACATATGAATGTTTTGGAGGAATGAAATGAATGACTATTACTTCTAATCGCTACTTCCTTTTGAGTCTCCACCATTTTTTTTCCTGCTAAGTAGTTCTTTTTTGTATTAGCTAGCAGTCAGTTCACAGTTATTTCATGACCTTTAATTTATAATGTTCTCTAGCAACTGATAACTTCTCTCTTTTCTGTTAGTTCAAATTCCTGAAAATCTAATTGGATAGGTTATTTGTTTTTTTTTTTTTTCAGTAAGGCCACACAGACCACAAATTTCTGGACAATCTCTGACTGTATTCTTTTCAGTCAGGTATACACACTTATCTAATAAAGCAGAGCCACCTCAGAACATGGCTGCATAGGCCTGAGGGCCTGTGGGAAGACATCCAGGCAACATAAATACATCTAACACATAGAACTGTTGCAGCTTCATCTGCACCAATGTTCTTCACTGTCCTAAGTCCTACTCATGAGTCTGACATCATTCCTCAATTCACTGCATCAGTCTTTTACTTCCATGTTTCTTCTTCATCAGATGACTCCTCCAGGCTTTTGTTGTTCTTGTTACACTTCTTTCATCACAGATATAACTATGTATTTATAGTTCTCCTATGATAAATAAATAAGTCTCTGCCTTGACTCTAAAGACAACAAAATTACCCCATACTGTCACTTCCCCAAGGCTATCCCAATTAACTTTGGCGTGGTAAGCAAGAAATATCATGCCTTTACATAGATCCTGCTGTGGACACACACTAAGGTGACCCCCAATGAATCATGCCCTTGCCTAATCCCCTCTTGTTTTGTGTGGATGGAACCTGGTACTTCCTTCTACTCAATAAAATATGGCAAAGGGGAAATAATTATTCAGATGTAATTCAACTCCCTGATCAGATGATTCTGAGTTAATCAAGAGAGGTTATTTGGGGGTGGGCCTGGCTTAATCAGGTGAAATTCCTTAAAAGAGAGATTGGTGACCGCCTGAAAATGAAAACACATTTTCCTGATGTCCTTGAAGAAGCAAGCAACCATGGGTTCTACAACCCTAAAGAAATAAATACTTCAACAACCTGATTAAATTTGGAAATAAATTATTCTCTGTCAAGCCTCTGGATAAGAATACAGCCCAATTGGCCTCTTGATCACAGTCTCATAAGACATTGAGCAGAGGACTCAGCCATGTCTGGACTGCTGACCTATGGAAACTGTGATGTAATAAATGTATTTTGTTTTAGTCCACTAAATTTTTGGTAATTTGTTATACAGTAATAGAAATCTAATACAGATCTTCATCCTAGTTCACTGAAAGAGACAGACATTAAAAGGCCCCTATTATTTTCTTTCTTTAGACCTCACGGTGTGACATTGTCTTAAACTTTTTCTTTTCTTGAGTTACACATATTAAATTATGGAAAATGAAATAACATCCTTTACTTCCTTAGTATCTTTCTATTTGGTGATTTACTCCTTTATTATATTTTCCCTGTTCTCAGTGTTTTAAGACTAACTTTAGACCTTTCAGAAAACGACACGTGACCATAATACTTTTCTTCCTCCCTTAACCACGTCGTCATCTTTTCTGCATGCAGCATCAGCTCCTATCATTTTCAGCTGGTTCTGATGAGCATAGCCACAATGTCTTTGACTATGAGATTCATATGTTAACTCCTCTCATTAATGTCTCACTTTTTTTTCTGTTTATACATTTAAATATTTAATTTACTTAATATTTTCAAAAGAATTCTTAAATTTTTATATATTTACTTAAACAATGCTTAATATTTACTTAAACAATATTTTGTAAAAAATGGGAATATTTACTTAAACAATGATTTTGTAAGGTCAAGATGTTTATGTGTGAAAATTTATCCCTGATTTATCTACATGTTACATCTGAATATTCATGTAAATTTTATTTGGTTAGACACATCTATATGTGAAAACATCTGTTTTCGGACCTTTAACAAACTCACAAAAATTACAGTATAAATATTTGGTACATACTATCTGTATTTAAAATAAAAATTTTACTTTTCTTCAGAATATGTTTAGTGGTATGTACTTGAAAAACCGGTATGTTCATTTGTTATACAAATGGAAATAAACACTTGAGATGAAATACTGATGGAGGAAATTTCTTCTGTTTATTCTGCCGGACATTCTCAAAAACTGATTTGAAAATGAAGTGATTAGGAATTTCTGTTTCCCAAGAGGGCCCCACAGAGTGCATAATCAATCTCTGGTTCACATTTCCCTGACAAAACAAAACAAAACAAAACAAAACAAAAAAACACCACAACCACTCTACATAAGATTCTGATTAAAGAGTTTTAAAGTGAAATTTGTATTTTTAAAAAGTGAAATTGAAAATCGTGATGCAATGATAGAAGTAGGAGTCGTGGCAGGGGTGGGGTTCACTCATCTGCAGGTAATGAAGAAATTTTTAACGATTATATTTCTAAATGCATGCCGCAGTAGACAAGCCATAAAATGTTCTATTCAATTAATTAAGCTTATATCTCATCCAGGTATACCAAATTATTCTCTTTAAGGGAAAGAAGCTTAGGGAGATTAATAGTGGGAAATTAATTGAAAGAGCTTTTTTTTTGAAATATTAAAGTCATATGAACACCTGATCACATGAGGTATAGTTGAAACTGCTTTTCCTTGTTCTCATACTAAAGTCAGTGTAATGCATTGATAAAAAGCAGACTAAACATTTCCAGAGGTAAGGTTCATAGTTTTTCAAAGTAGCAGAGCATGTTTAACGCACTTGGATTGCGTTAGTTCAGAGGGATAGATTTCTCTTTTGGAAAGCTGCCTTTCAGTTAAATACCCAAATCTTGAAACTTCTGATAGTAGTCAGTGTTAATTATCTTCCTTTGAGACGAGTCACCAAGAAGCAGAAAATTTGCCATCTCGTGGTGTTTGTACATACGTGAAATCTATATTTTTTATTTTATTGTGAAGTACGAAAGACAGAGAATATTCATAGGCAACAGAATGAGATCTTCCTGCAATTTTTGGTCTTTTCTTAATCCACAGAAATGTGTAAATAAAACCATGTGATTATTTAACAAGAGAAAAAACCATTTGATTATTTAAAAAGAGAATTTTCTGACATCCTTGTTCCACCCACAGTTGTTATAAATTTGCTGCAGCTGCTTCTTAACGCCTCCAGATGGCGTGCTGGTGCTCGTTCGCGCCTCCCAGCGACCGGCCAGTTGCCAGCTGCTGGAGAGAATGAGCTTGGAGCCGCAGGGCTTAATCCCGCGCGGCTCAGAGATGGGTTTCTGGACTCGCGAAGCAGCTGCAACAAGGCATCACTCACTGTATAAGTATTTCCATTTCTGAGAGCAAAAGGAAGAACTTAAGCGGGCGGCACTTGGAGTGTAAATTGCTTTGTAGTATTTAAAGGCAGAATGGATCCTGGGCAGCCGAGCTGGTACGTGCAACAGAAACTACTCAATGGAATTGTTCTGGGTAGGACTGGTCTGATCGTCCTTTGTGTACCAAACGTTGTGTGTCCTGGATTGCGCCTATGTGTATACACCCATTTCATGTTCACCAGGATCATGGGGACTTGGGAGTCACAATCTTTCATTTTTCCAAAATGATACAATAAAAGCTTTACGGAACATTGTTTATTAATAGAAATGTGACCCGAGTCACAGTCTTAAGAAACACATGATAATGATAGAAAAATACTTTTATGTTTCTTTGTTAGAGAAAAAGAAAGTAAACCTAAACTGTATCACTGTGCAGTGTTACTAGATATGACTTAAAAGACAATGGCAAAAAATGTTTGACTGCCGTGGAGTAGACTTTTACCTGTAGGTGTAGACTTAAACACACCTGTAATATATCAGTGTTTTCAAATCTATGTGCCAGAAAAAAACATGGTGTAGCTATGAAAACACTAGTTATGAAAAATGCATGTCATGCATATGTACATTTTGTTTTGTAAATGTGTGTTGTGTATATACACATGTATATGTGACCTAGATGCAGAATTATTATCGTATGATTACAAATAGACATGTGCTGAATATAGATGAATTTCTGCACCTTCATACATTGTATGTCTATCTGGATAACTTAGTATGCAGATCCATTACCACAATATTAAATCTGAATTTAAAAGAATATATTTGTTTTACTGTTATACTTTACATTTGTTGAATTTCATTCAGTTGTGCATTGAGTTTTCTATGCTTTTAAATTCTGAGGAAAGGTTGGTTTTTACATTTTGAACATAAATTATTTGCCGAGGTGATTATATGGGGATAGGATGCATAGATATATAAATATAGGTTCCCTAAAGTTCAGGTTGTATGTGGAATTCACAAGAGTTTTGAAAACTCGAGAGTTCTGACCGAGAGTTTATATTAGAAACAACAAAATTGAAAGATTAAGATTCAGAGCTAAATTGGACATAATCGAGGCTGAGGTTTTATATTTAGTAATATTACTCTAAGATTAATGTTAGATTACTTATAAACTTGTATAGATTCCCTTGAACAGATGTTGTTCATGAACCAGTGACTGAATTGTATCTTTTATCATTGCACATAAGCAGATATAACACAATTCAATACAAGAAATATGACTTGAAAGCTAACTAGGTAAGATAGCATGCTAAATAAAGCCTAAAATACTGAGAAAAGTTAGAAACTATTGAGTCCCTGTCCTCAAAGAGTTGCCATTCAAATGACTAGGTTAGGCATGTTCATGAATATGAGTACACAGTAAAATACAAAATAAATGCCATTAAAGTGAGACATGCACAGGTGTGTAGCATTTAAATTGAGGGAGCGATCTAAATTAGGGGCATTAGTAAGGCCTTCAGATTGGAAAGCCCCCTTCTAAACAGATGGTTTAAAAGAACAATTTTGGTAGGTGTGAAGAGGTTCTGGGCGAGAGATGTATTCAGGTCAGACATTTGGTTTGGGTTGGCTATGGCCTTCTTTATTGGTCTCAGAGGTAAGCAGTAAGAGATAATATTATACAAATAGGCTGTGTGATATTGAAGATGATCGTGAACATGGGACTGAAATTTGGGGATTTCATCATCAGTTCATTCCTAGTGCCACTAACAATGTAGGCATTTAGTATTCTTAAAACATTGAATGTTGTACATAACAACAAGGGCCAGCATAAAGTTTTAGGATATTTGTATGGTTTATGTATTGCATGTCTACCATATTAGAATGTAAGTTGCAAAACATAGCACTCTTTTTCAATATTATATCCTCAGAGCCTAGAAAGTACTTGAAAAATATTTATCTACTGAATGAATTAATGAATAGTAAAATTGGAATACGGTCAGGGTTCTATATCATTCACATTTAGTTTTCCTGATGGTCTTAAATTACTAAAATCCTCAAAATTTACCAAGTCTTTGAAGCTATTGTGTCAGCTGATTCCACTTACGGCTCAGGTACTTCTAAGCAAGTTCCCTGGAATTACCACTATTGGTATTTAATCTTACTCTATTTTTAACCTCTTTTATGAATAGAATTGCCTTTACATTTTTAAAATGGTTATTAAGATAATTATAAACTGTGTGATTATTCAGGCAGAATTAAACAGTTCCTCTTCATATCCCTATAGTAGAAATAGTGAGTATATAACACAGGTTAAACAAATACATTCAGGAAAAGAGTTGAGGGTTTGAGGAATGTCTTTGCTCCCTGTAACGTATGTTTACCTCCGTATTAGAACGCTTCTAATATTTGGTTCTCTGCAACTTGATTTAGGCGAAACTCTCTAGAGCCTCTTTATAATTTTGGATATGCAGAGTGATCATTTGGGGAATCCTTAGCTGTGTGTTTACATAGTATTGGGAACTCTGTGATAATTTCTATGGGTCACAGCCCCTGACCCCGCAACAGCAGTGCTCCTCTTTTTTGTTCCTGTATACTGATATCTATACTTTTTATGGACAATGACAGGAATATGTGGATAAACTAGTGAAGAAAAAAGTTTTTGTCATTTGAAAGGATGATACTGGGTGAAAAGATACAATGATTTTAAAGGAATGTATAAACATGATCTGCCCAACTAAATTATAAATGAATGCATAATGACTTGCAAATAGAAGGGCCAAATAAACAATGTCACTGAACCAACAACTTCAGAAATAAACCCCTGGAGTTTCCCCTGCTCCTCAAGAGAGATCTTTCCTCTGTGATAATGATTTATATATCTTAATTTACTTTTATATCACTCATCTAAAAATATACAAGGGTGGAATTTCTCACTTTAAAAATATATGTCGATGGGGTTTATATGTGTCAGTTCAACTGAGGATGCAAGCTTTTAGTTTCAGCTTGAGCTAATCTGTGCGAAGTCAGGCTTTTTCTCTCAATAGTGTCAATAAGACAAATTTCCACACTAGCCTGGTCTCCATCCTGTTGGACTTGCTGGTAATGCTTTATTTTTATCCCTGTGAGAGGAGGTAGTATGGCATGGTGGCTGGCCCAAGACTTTCACCTTATTTGAAACCCTAGTGTATGGCTTGGCCTGGAGATTAATCTATTAGGGAAAGTACACCTTGTCTAAATACTGCTGGACATTCAGTTTTGGAGAAATCTACTGCAGTGTGTACTGCAGGATTTTTCCCCCTAGTGGTTGACTTAAGGCTGTTGTATTAAAACAATAGAAATAGACTTTTCTTCATATATGGAGCTAGCTTGGTCAATATTTTCTAACTTATGTTTTTAAAAACTTATTTCAGAAGAAATGATTATTTCTTCTGAATGATCATTGTTAAATGATCATTTTGAAAGATACAAATACAATGCCCTGAACAACATGCTTGTGTGTCTTCTTTGGAAGGCCGGACATTCAAAATTACACAAATACAAAATATATACAAATAATGGAAGTGTTTCTGCTACTAGATTCACACTGTACTCCTTTTTCTGGGTGTAGTGGAAAGATCTCTTCTCCCTCTGTGTATCCTAATGTCACTGTTTTTTTAATCAGCGGTGACACTGAATCAGTTTAACATGATTTTTCTTTAGCCTGTGTGACCATACTGTAAACTCCTTAAAGGCAGGAAACAAATCTCATGCTTTCTTTGAATCTCTCTATTATACTAAACATACTGCCAGCCACAAACAGCACTTAAGTTTATAATTATTTTTTTGAAGTAGGGCCTCACTCCGTCACCCAGGCTAGAGTGCAGTGGCACAATCATGGCTCACTGCAACCTTGACCTTCTGGACTCAGGTGATCCTCCCACCTTAGCCTCCAGAGTAGCTGGGACTGCAGGCACACGCCATCATGCCCAGCTAATTTTTGTATCTTTTTGTAGAAACAGGGTTTCACTATGTTGTCCAGACTGGTCTAGAACTCCTGGGCTCAAGCAATCTGCCCGTCTCAGCCTCTCAAAGTGCTGGGATTACAAGTGTGAGCCCCCTGGGCCCTGCCATTTTTTTTTGAATGATTGAGTAAAGATTAAATTATTATGTTTTCACACTAATTAAAATAGTAGATATAGTCATATAATAGTGGCTTCTAAAGGACAAAATGGAAATCTTTCTAGTGGTTCTATATACCAAGAATGTTATACCTGACACATCACAACAGAAAGAGAAAGCTCCTTCTCCTTAATTAACTGTTAGAAATGAAACATCTTTTTTAAAAATATTATTTGAAATGTGGAAATATCTATAAAGATACAAAATTTGCCTTTACTTGGTAGAGCTATTTACATCTGGAATAGCTATCTTCTAGCATACCTGTGTCTCTAGGGTGTTGTGTAACTGCAGGTGGAATATTCCAAAGTTAGAACTACTAAAAGAACAAATCAGAAGAGTTCCTAGCAGTAAGAATTAACCTTAAGGAAGCTTAGAAGCATTTGTATGCTTTAGAGCTGTTCCTGGGGAAAAAAATCATGCATTTTTTATAATGAGCATATTTATGAGCGTACCCCCACCTGCCACCAAGATGTATAAAAATGAGTTAGTAGCTGCAAACTGCTATTTTAGCAAGTGCTAGAGGAAAATAACAAAAGATCTGTGGTTGTATTGTTAACAGAAGTGAAGAAGCTTCTCTTGTGTCTCTGAACGAAGGGCTAACAGAAGAGCTTTTGGTTACTAAGATGTATTCTTTCCTGGACTCAGGCTCATTAACGATGGAAGTAGGAGGGATAGCATATAAAGCGGCAGCTGCAGCTGTGGGCACTCAGATCATTTGTCACCTGGCATGAAGTTAGTGTTGGCCGCTCTGGAGCTCCAGCACAGGACACCAGGGAGCAAATGCCAACTGATTGTTGTTCCTCACCAGCTTGCTGGCTAACTCCTACTCACTCTTCAGATCTCTGCTGAAGTGTTGCTTCCTCCAAGTAGCTTTGCCTGACCTCTCTAGAATGCATTTAGCACCTTTCTCTTCACTGTTATGGCCTCATAGTCTCACCCTTGCCATCACACTTACTGCTTGAAGAACTGCCTGCCCTCCTCACTAGGCTCAAGAAAGGCAAGAGCTGAGTCTTTTCCAACATTGTTCAGTGTCTGTCTTGCATACAGTAGGTGTGTACATATTGATAAGTAGTATCTGTTGCATGACGGCTTTATGACTATGTATAGGCTGTATGGGCTTGGATATCAATAAAGGCGGTATTTGACTCAGTGCCACGTGTGAGCTGAAAGTGACTAAGCTCTCAGTCCTACTGTCCTCATCTACTATCTGTGACAATTGTATACCTGCCTCTTAAAAGTAGTTATAGTCCTGGATAACAAACCTGCAAATGTACCCTTGAACTTTAAATAAAAGTTTTTAAAAATAATAAATAATTTTTTAAAAAGTAGTTGTTAAGGTTAAATAATGTTTTTTGTAGTAGTGCTATGAAGATTTATTTATGGGATTTCTGAATGTTAACTGAGTTAATCTTCAAAAAGACAAACATCAGGTTGGTACTATTAGCACGATGCTTTATGTAAGAAATAGAGGCATGGAAAGGTTAGCTTCCTTGCCCAAGGTCACAGAGAGAAGAACAACAAAAATAGAAGGCCTTGTAGAGTGACCAGGCCAGAGTAGATATTTGCTAAATGCTGGACTTGGGACTATTGCAATTTTATTTAGGGAAGGCTGATTCCTGTGTAAATGAGAAATTACACCAAACAGTTAAGAACAGTTTGTTCTCTGGTTTCAGAGCCTTCTGTTGCAGATATTTTCTTTGTAGAATTCCCATGGAAGCCCAATATGGTTACAGAAAAACTTCTAATGTGTGCAGTCAGAGAGAACCTTTATCTTTATTGAGCGTTATATGGTGTGGGGCATGTTAGAATCTAAAGAAATCTTTGTAAGAAATATGTTCTTGTTATAGGTCTCAAGATAAAAAAAAGAAGTAAATAATATCATGGCCTGTTTTAACAGTTTGCAGCATTCCTCATTTATTTTGTTTTATTTATAAATTCTATTTATCTTATAGTGTTTACTTTTTCTCACTATAAAATGCTTTTAGTTGAAAATATGTAATACAAACAGCAAAGAAGGAAAAAAAAATTATCCATAATTATTCAACTAAGAGATAGCTACCATTAACATCTTGGCATTTTTTTTTCTGTTTTTTGACAAAATTACATGCACATCTGCTTGTATATACGCATCCATTTGTACACACATTTTAATATGAAATTAGATTATACATACATTCTATGTCCCATTTTGTACCTATTATTTTATCATGCTCTTTAAAAATTATAATTGTCAGTACCAGCATAATATTATCATATATGGCTATATCATAATGTTATTTAGTAGTTTTGCTTCTGTTTAATATTCTCCTAATTTTGAAAATTGGTTTAATTCTTTTCAATTTTCACTTATTTGAACAGGCTTACTATGGTGCTTTACATGACAGATGTACCTTCTAAATAATCATATTTAGATGATGATGTAACAATATTTGAAAATAATATTTTCAAAGGGGGCAATGCACTTCCATTCAGAGATAAACAGGTCCAAAAAAATTTTAAGACAGAATTAATATTTAATGAAATAGCAAGAAATAAATTGGAATGGCAAATGGAAATAGAATAATGTTTTTTGAGAGATCATGGTATGCTATCACCTATGAAGGTCAGCGTTATAATTACTATTTTACTGTGACTGACTGGGGCTCAAAGGTAATGAATGACAAAATCAGATTGTTTTAGTGGCTCTGCCAGGATTCAAATATAAGTCTCACTCCTCAACACTTTATTTTCTTCATTCCACCATGCAGTCTACACAGCATGCTAGCAGTGTTCATAGCTCCACATGACAATTTATTTGAGCCTCTGTTTCCTCATGTGTAAAATAGAAACAGTAATACTCACCGTGTAGGAGTTTGTGATGGTTAACTTGAATAATATATGGAGATTGAGATCCAAAAGAATTTATCCTAGGGCTCAATTTTAGCATTGAGGCTCATAGGTATTTCATAAAATATATCCCGAAACTGATAGAATTTCATAATCTCCTGGCAATTGAGGGACTCTCAGAAGGCTCATTAACAACCCAAATTTCCAGACATGAATCTAGAAGATTTATATCCAGAATCTGAAGTAGGTCACTGCCTTTGTTTTTAACAAATCCCTTTGGTAATTTTGATAACATTTTAAATGGCAACCACAGATATAGGCAACTAGCAAAATGATGCTGAAGAGAGGATGAAAAGTTTAAGATGAGACATGAAACTTTGGCAGTCACTGGTTCAAAGTAGATGGAGCTTCCTGTGGGATAGTATGGCTGGAAACTGTGGGGATGTAAAAACAACTCAGGGTTTGAAGGCTTCATTTTCTCAGGTAATTTGAAATATGAAACACATTCAAGGCACTTGAAATTAAAAGCAAAAATAATGCTAAGTCGACTGAACAGAAATGGCAGACAGCAAGGTTTTGCCAAAGTAGAATATCCTTTAAAGTGTGTTGATTATGAAGGTAAATGCATGGAATGTGTGATGCTTGTGGATCCTAATCATGTATACACTACTTAAACTAAGAAACCTGATCTGAATTTTCTGTTTGACTTTTTTATTTTTAAGGAGGATATCTTAGAATTAGTTCTTCCCTTCTCTGTATTTCCATAGAATTTTTTCTAGCCTTTAATACTGAATAGCAATTGATAAAATTGATTTTTCCTATGACAAAAGGAGCTTCCAGAGAATGAGTCCTAATTCATTCAAGAATGATGCTCAAAAGCAACTTTTCAGTGAATTTTTCAACCCACATTTTCATTATTTTAAATAGTTGACGGAACATCTTGTAACTTTAAGAAAGTTCTCTACAGGAGATGTGCACTATATTATTTAATTAAAATGATTACCAAAGATTTTAGAACATTTGTTCTTTTTGTATTGCGGTTATTTGACGTGAATTCCTAAAGAGTGTACTAAAGAAAACATTCTCTAATATTTGAGACCAATGTTCTCTAAAACTGTGTTTTTGTCAGGAATTAATAAGCTGCCTGACGTTAATATCGTTAAAATTATAATTGATGGTATTACATTTCCTGGTGTACCTTCTGCTACAGAAATATTTCGAGTTGTGCCAACTAATTTTCTGGGCCTGTTACTGAATAATAAACATAGTGGAGACTAGATATTTTGACTTGCATTTTCTGGTTAAATCTAACCTTGAAGTACTCTATAGTTGGATTTTTGTATTGGTCCTTAACATATAATCTTACAATCTTAGGGGGCTAAAGGAGAGCTTGAAAAGTGATTTTCAGGAAGAAAGGAGAATCTCTACAATTTCAAAGCACTTTCAAAAAAGCCATGTCACAACTTCTCTTGCTAACCTATCCCCATATCAGTTACCTGCATTGTTGTGAGATTCTTTATTAAACCCTTCCCTGAATACTTCCTGTTGCTATATAAGCTCACATCTTCATGCTTGATCTTAGTGGAAACAGAAAACTGGTCCACTGACCTTTTAATACATGTCATTTAGATATTAGGAGATTGTTATTGAAATCTCTCCCTCAATAAATACTGCAGACACCTTATGCACCTAGTCCATGCTCTTTTGATGAGTTCCTTCTGCAGGGCAGGGCGCTGTGTACTTCACATGCAGGGAGCTACAAGAGGGCCTTTTCTAGGCCTCCTTGCCTTCTTCCTTCTAGTTTTTAAAATCATTTTCCCTAGTTTTGTAATTTATCTAAATTGGCTATTTTTTTTAAATTCTCTGCTTGACTTTTTCCACTGGCCTTTTCACCTTCTACACTTGACCGTTCACATTCAGAAACAACAACAAAAAAATGGTGGTTGAATCCTGAAGAAGGATTGAAGGTATACACCTTACAGTATAATTTTGTATGTACATGATTTTATGTATACATTTCAGACACCTATCATCATTGTCCCGTAGGCATGTACTATTCAAGTGCAAAGTTTTATACCAAATATTAAGTGGATTTATCAATAATGCAAAACAGTAAACCTTGCCCTTGAGGAATGCCTGTATTGAAGAGTAACAATCACATTACCACCCACTTATTGTGTATTGAATCCTGATCATCCTGATGGCAGGTAACATTATGAATATACTAGCATTAAGTAAAAAGATTATCTGACTAAATGATGATCATTTTACCTTATTTCTGAGTAATTACTTTTTGTTAAGGACCTCTTCTATCCTTTTAGTTTAGAAATGTAACCTGATGTCTCTTCCTTCAATTTATACTTCAGTAACTTAACCATAATTTTGCACCATCTAGTGAGTTTTCCATGTTTCTTCTCTCATTCTTATCATTTAGTAAGTCATCTTCTCTTCTGGCATATTTATGGATTTTTAGGATGGTAAGTTTGCTGGAGTCTCATTGATTGCTACTTTCTATGCAGAATCTTTTAGTCAGTGTCAAAGGGAGATTATTATATGGGTATCTCACACACAGGAAATTAGATTCACTATAGACCAGCTATGGTGGATTTGCTATATTAGATTAGATTAAATTAGATTCGCTGTAGACTTTTTCATGAACTGTTTTCAAATCTGTACTCATTTATTCAGCATGAGTGCAAATCATTATGATAAATTATTCAAAGTACATTTATAATTTTATACATCAATTTGAGAAACTTTTAATATTTACTGTTACATTTTCAGAATCAATAATTTTCTGCTTTTCACATATATTTTTAAATTGTTTCAATCTTTCATGTTGAAATGTTTCTGGAAGATAAAACTGGAGAATCACCCTAGCTTTTGTTTGTCAGTACTGCAATATTGGGCAAGTTACAAATGGCTAAACAGATTATATATTGAGTTTGTGAGACATAAAAAAATTTTACCCATAAGAAAAGGATGCTATCTGTCTGATTTGATGATCTACATAACATTGGGAAGAATAATACAAATCTGTATTTGTATAATTATTAGGCTAGAGATCAGAAAATGAAGCTGTGCAAATCAGTTGGCTGTATTTTTAACTTTCATTTGTGACTGATAAGCATACTGCAGAGCTTGAGAAATTACTCTGCTTAATTTTGCCTAAAACAGTACTTAAGTAGATCCATTACTGATTTGGATTTTATAATAAAAAGAACTGTTAAGGAGACAATTTTTGTTTGGCAGGTTGGAAATGAAATGTTCCAAACTTTCCTTGTGCAACAGTTTCTTAGGCTCTGGTAAGAAATTAGATTATGTCAAAACTAGTTAATTACAAAGATAAATGTGAAATGCAGGAGATTGATGAAAACAAAACAATTTCAGCCAAAGTTCAGGAATTTTTTTTTTAATTCAGTGATAGCACAGATATCTTAACTGATGTCTGGGCTCCATTTCATTTACTTACTAGCCCAAATGTCAGCAATGTATGCATTAAGGTTGGTTTTCAGATATTAACTCTAAATAGTATTCATCAATTATACTTTTGAAGCAAACATAAAGCCCTTTATAGCAGAAGGGTCTTTATTGCCCCTTTTCTCCAATTTTTATTTTGTTATTATGTGTTTATTTCTATCAAAATCCTCCCTTATTTTCATCGTTTTCATATTCTACCCCACACCTGGACTAAGTTGGAGTAAAGAGATCCCTGAGTTAAGAATGCCAGTAAGATCAGAACACTATGAGAATAAGGTGGTGATAGTGGGATAGGGAAAGCAGCTGAAAGGGTTTATTTGTATTCCAAAATACATGCATCTGCACCTGCAAGAAGACTTTTGCCATCACAGTCAACTCTTTATTATTTAGAGAACTCTCTGCTTTGTGGAGATTTGGCTGTAACCCCAGACTTGCTTCCCTGGAACACCTAACTTTGTTTTTTTGCTGCCAACAGCATGGTCTCCTTAGGAAGGATTCGGCTTAAACGTGGAGAGGAAGACTGAGTGTCTGTGTGTATGACTGGGTATAAATCAATCAAAATTCCAAAGGCAAATTTAAAAGATTTGGGTGCATTATTTTGTGCACATGCCTCTTTTTCTACCTTATTGAAAATAATTTCAATACTTGTATACTTTTAATATGTTCAGTGCAGTGCAGTGCATGCTCAAATCTATTTCATGTGGTCTTTCTTAACTTCATACTTAACATTTAAACATCTGTATGTTTAATGATTTTACCCTGGCTACAGGCATTAGTCAAACATTTGTTTTCCTTTCTGTGCTATCATCAAAGGACTATTACATTTTTAATCTTCCCTGAAGAAGTTGTAACACTCCATTAGAAAATGGTAACAAACACAATGATACTCCCACTCCATCTTCCATTGCAATTCAAAGCTTGAACATTTATTCACTGGACAAAAGAGGTTTACCTATAGTTTCTGCATGGGATAATGAGACAATTGCTTTTTTGTTTTAAAAATATAATCCTGGCAACGATGTGAAAGATGAGTTTGAAATAAAAATCTTATTGGTAGAAAGTGTGGGACCAAACTGTCAGTGGCAGCAGTAATGAAAAGGCGGGTGTGGATTTAGAAATACATTTTAGAAGTAGATAAATAGAATCTGGCATTAAGAGATGAGGGAAAGTAAGGAGTTAAGGATAACTCTGAGATTTCTAACTCATGTAGTTGGCTACCTAACAGTGGCATTCGTCATAGTAATTTATAGCAACTAAGCTTTATTGAAGGGATGACTGGGATTTTAAGGGAGAAGCAGGAGAGTGGAGTGGAGATCATGTGTTTGGAGTTTGTCATGCTGAGTTTGTTACCTGTTGGACATACATGTAGAGCAGTGTTTGTCAATCTTGGTCATATTGACACATTGAGATGGATAATGCCTTTTTGGGGGTGGGGGGTTATTTTGTACATTGTAGGATTCTTAACAATGTTTATGGACTGTACTCACCAGATGTCAGTAGTACCTCTCTCAGTTGTGCCAACCAAAAAATATCTCCAGATTTTTCCAAGTCTGCCCTGAAGCAGGGACAAAATTGCACCCAACTGAGAACCACTGGTATAGAGACAACAAAGAAGATATTGATGTTGTGTGTCTAGAATTTAGGAGACAGACAAGGCTTGAAATCAATATTAGACTCATCAGTAGCGGCAACCTAAGCAATGTGAATATATGAGATTCTGCAGGGGAAGAATGTAGATGATTATATGTTATCTAATTTTTTATTGAACAGGTCTGGAGACTGAAAATTCCTAATCACATGAGATAGATTGAGTCAGCTCATCTTATGTTTGAATACTTTCAAATGTTGTATGTTATTATTGTTGTTATATACTGTTACATATCAGCCAAATTGCTTGTATTGAGCCACAATTCATTTTTCCATAATAGTATTTCTTTTGTCCTAATTTTGCTTTTGTGGAACAGAAAACATGCATATCAGGACAAATAGAATTCTTTCTAAATCCCTCCACATATTTTAATGTAACTATTAAATTAATTTTTAAAATTCAATATTCTTATGCCCTGACTAAATATCTTTATAATTTTCAACCTTCTTTTATATGTTATATTTTGACATTTCTTGCATCATGAGTACTTCCTATTGAACTGCAGCCATTTTACATATTCTTAAGGTATGGAGAAGAGAAATGAACAAACTCAATGTATGACTTCTAGTTTAGAGGAAAACGGGCCGTCAATTTCCACAGTTTGGTCATAGTATTTTTTGGTCATAGTTATTATTGCGTTAGCTTCTTTGTCAGCCAGATGATGCTATTGTCTCTTATAGCTTGTTGTTTTTATTTTGCATGAACTTTCTGTTAATATTTCATATCATGTATTAGCAATTTTTTAAAAACTCATTTCACATATCATATCTTATATTAGTGATTTTTAAAAAATCCAAAATGTGAAAATTTATATTCATCCTTTTAAAAGTATACCCTTCTTTGGCTTAGCCAATCATTTCAACCTGCTTGATCCTTTTGGACTATGATTTCATCATGCAACATATTTGTTATTTCTACCAGTTTTATGCCATCTACACAGTTATCAGTCATATTTATCCAAGTCATTAGTAAAAATGTGAGCAGGTCAGGTTCAGAGATAATGGAATTATGTAGTGCTATGGATTTTCTCTTCAGTGCTTTCCCCAGCTCCCTTTTGCTTAAAGGTCTTTTTATTTTCATAGAGTGCTATAGAAACAAGACTTACGTACATTATTTTCCACCTTTCCCAGATAAAACCTTCAAATATAATCCTACCACAAGATATGGCAAGGTAAATTATATTTCATTTGTTGGATTCCATTTACAGGAAAAATGATTGCTGAGTGATAAAATAATGTTAAGTGATAAAAACAGGATACAGATTTGAATATAAAATATGACTATATATAGTAGATGTAGATCTAGGTATAGACCTAACTATCGATATAGAGAACACCAAAATCTCAGTTTTAACACCAAAATGATAGTTTTCTTTAAAATGGTAATTATGATTGATGCCTTTTTCTATCACATTTTATAGTATCAAAATGTTATGTAATGTATTTGTCATTTTAAATGCAGAAAATAATAAAATATACTTATATAATTTTAAATCAACAATATTTAAAACAGAATCTGCAAATAAATGCATGGATTCCTGATGACCAGTATTTGAGGAAAAGGCCTAAAT